>NC_000010.11:81506731-81658246 GCF_000001405.40 Homo sapiens | reverse complement strand
CACACACACACACACACACACCTGCACAAGTAGGTAATCTTCCAAATGTCACCAAGTGTGACACAATGCACACCATTTTGTTCTCAGTCTAACACCTTTGCTTTCATAGCAGGTTCCAATCACTTGCGTTCAAAGTGCCAATATAGGAAGAATCATCTTTTATCCTTGTCACATTCCTTCTTTCATGTATTTTTCTTCTCATCTATGTAACCATCACTCATTCCAAAGGCTATGCTTGAAGATGATTTTCCTTTTAGACAAGCTCAATTGTAATTCTTTCTAAGGCAGAAATTCCAAGAATTACAATAATTTGTGCATATTTAAAACGTCCAGATTATTTTAGGATAGAGCTTTAAAAGCATAACTTCTTTGCAGTGACCTTTTGCTGTAACCTGGGGTTTCTGCTGTCATTACTCTCACTCTCTGTTTTGTCCTCCAAGGTTGGCTATAATTAAGGTTTTTTAGTACAGCAATGTTTGTAAAAGAATCTACAATATCGCAATTGCTTCTGACCACAGTATCTTCAGTAATAAGTTGGTCACTTCATAAGTCATGCTCAACTCTTAGAAACTCACTTTTTATATAAGCCACTGGAAACCACTTAAAAAAAAACAGAACTCTGTATTGAGATTAAGTTTTCATGTGGGCACTACTTATTCAATCACTAAATATCAGTGTCGTAGCCTGTGGCTATTGTTCCTATATGGGCCAAGGGTCACCTTGCACTAAATGTCATTAGAAAATTTGTTAAGACCTGGAAGGACATCAGCAAGAGAAAAGAATAGGACTTCCAAGAGCTCATTCATCTGCAAAAACATCACTTTGAACAAGTGTCTATATACAAAATTACCTTCACAGGAGCAAAGGAAATCAGGTGAGAGATTATAGCACCTACAGATAACACAGAAATAAGAAAGGACATGTTGAAAAGGATAGGAGGGACAGTTTTACATTAACCACATCACCCCTCCCTGAGCCCCTGGCAGCAAAGAGTAAAGAGAGATACCCTTTGCATGGGGGAGAAACAGGGAAGTAAGCACTGAAATTTGCATAGGACCTCAACACTAGACCTACCCCAGGAAAAGCCCACAGCCCCAGATTTTAGGCTGGTATCCATGGACTAAGCCTCCAGACCTAAGTGCCAGGAGAGATACCACAGCCTCAGGCTCCAGGAAGGCCTGGTGTACTTGGTATATGTGTCTTTGTCACTGCTAGGACAACCTCAGAGGCCCTAGGCTCCAGACTGCCCACAGCACTGGGCTGACCTCCAGGTCTCCAGGCTTCAGGCCTACCTTAGAACCAGGCCAGCCTCTGAAGCCTGAGACTTGAGACCGGCACTGCAGAACAACCCTCCAGGCCAGCCCTGGTGGATATAGGCTCCAAGTCTACTCAGGACTAGGCTAGACACTGTGGCCCTGGGCTCTAGGCCTGACCCAGGTTTCAGACCAGCCTAGAGCCACTTTTGCCCATATAGCCTCATGCCTCTGGCCCACTCCATGCTAGGTTGGCATTTCTAGCCTCAGGGAATCAGCAGCCCCTCCCTCCAGGCCAGCTCCTGTGACCCTAAGCTCCAGCAGACCCAGGGCCTAAGCTCAGTAAACGTCAGTACTGAACCAGCCAACATTGACCCAGGCTCTAGGACTGACCTTGTGAATCCAGATTCCAGGCCAAACCCTGTGGCTCCAGGACTCAGGCCAGCCCTCACAGACCTAGACTTCAGGCCAATACACACACACATACCTAGTCTCTAGGCTGGCTTCAGAAGTCCTAGGCTACAGGCCCATCCCCATATCCCCAGCCTCCAGGCCAACATCTATGGCTCCAGGCCCCAGGCAGAACTCAAAATTTCAGGCTCTAGACCAACCTCTACAGGCCCAGGCTCCATGCCTGCCCCAGTACCGGCCATTCCCAGGCTCTAGGTCAATTTCTGTGGCCCCAGATGCCAGAGGAGCCAGGGTCCAGGCTTGCCCCAGTAGACACTACAGACAGATTGGCCCTTGCAGACCGAGTCTCCAGGACTTCCCTCACAGATCCAGGTTCCAGGACAGCCCGTGTAGATGCAGATACCAGGTCTACACCTGTGGACTCAGGATCCAAGCCTGTCCCAGTGGACCCAAGTGGTAAGCCTATCACAGTGCCTAGCCAGCCCCTGCAGGCTTAGGCTTAAGGCCTACCCGAGTGCCAGTGAAACTTCTGTCAACCCAGGATCCAGGCCTACACCCACAGACCCAATCAACAGGCCCACCCCAGTGGATCCAATTTCCAGGCCCAGCTACCTGCTAAACCAGGTATCAAGTCAGCCAACTGGACAATTCCAGCAGAAATCTCTCCTAAGGATCATGCCAGACAGGCTACCTAGAATCTCTAAATGGAATGACTAGTAAAATGCTCTTTTTAAAAAAGCCATTCTACAAAGACTGGAATAAGACTACTACTTCACATGCATGAACATCAATGTAAGTCAACAAGATATGAAAAATATGAAAAATAAAACAGAATACCACCACCAAAAAACAAAATAATCTCCTAGTGACTGAACCCAGAGAAATGGACATGCACAAACTGCCTAACAAAGAATTAAAAGTAATTGTTTTAAAGAAGTTCAGTGAATTTCAAGAAAATGTAAGCAAATCCACAAAATCAGGAAAACAACAAATGATCAAGACAAAAATTTTGGCAGAGAGATGTAAATTATTTAAAAAAAATCAAATTCTGGAGCTAAAAAATTCAAGGAATAGAATGAATAAATGCATCAACAGCAGGATTGATCAAGCAGAAAAATCTGAGAACTTGAATAAAGGTAATTGAAAATAAACAATCAGAAGAGTAAAAAGATAAAGGAATAAGGAAAGTTTCTTTGATTTATGGAACACCACCAAAAAGCAAATGTTCAAATTATGATAGTTTAAGAAATAAGGGATAAAACACAAGAAAGCTTATTTAAAGAAATAATATCAGAAAAGTTGCCAAATTTGGAGAAAAATAAGTATGTAAGTACAGGCAGGTCAAAAGCCTCAAGACAGAAAGGAAGGAACAAAGGATTTACAAAACAACCAAAAAACAATTTTAAAAAATGATATTAGCAAGTCATTATATATCCATAATTACCTTGAATGTGAATGGAATAAATTCTTTGATAAAAAGAGGTATAATGGTGAATATATTTGAAAACAAGACCCAACTATATGCTTCCTACAAGAAATGCACTTTACTTTTAAGGAAACGCATAGATTCAAAATGAAGGGAAGAAAAAAGACATTCCTACAAATGGAAATCAAAAGAGAGCAGGGGTAGCTATATTATACCAGATAAAAAGAGTTTAAGTCAAAAGCTCTAAAAGGAGAGAAAGATGGTCATTATATAATAAAGGGGTGGATTCATCAAAAGGATACAACAATTGTAAATACATATATACCCAATACTGGAACACCAAAATATGTAAATCAAAAATTAAATGATATGAAGAGAGATATAGATTGCAATACAATGACAGTAGGGTATTTCAATACTTGACTTCCAGCAATAGACAATTCATCCAGATAGAAAATGAAAAAGAAATATGGGATTTATTTATTTATTTATTTATTTCACTTTATATAAGTTTATTGTATTTTTTTATTATACTTTAAGTTTTAGGGTACATGTGCATAATGTGCAGGTTTGTTACATATGTATACATGTGCCATGTTGGTGTGCTGCACCCATTAACTGGTCATTTAACATTAGGTATATCTCCTAATGCTATCCCTCCCTCCTCCCCCCACCCCACAACAGGCCCCAGTGTGTGACATTCCCCTTCCTGTGTCCATGTGTTCTCATTGTTCAATTCCTACCTATGACTGAGAACATGTGGTGTTTGGTTTCTTGTCCTTGTGATAGTTTGCTGACAATGATGGTTTCCAGCTTCATCCATGTCCCTACAAAGGACATGAAGTCATCATTTTTTATGGCTGCATAGTATTCCATGGTGTATATGTGCCACATTTTCTTAATCCATTCTATCATTGTTGGACATTCAGGTTGGTTCCAAGTCTTTGCTATTGTGAATAGTGCCGTAATAGACATATGTGTGCATGTGTCTTTATAGCAGCATGATTTATAATCCTTTGGGTATATAGCCAGTAATGGGATGGCTGGGTCAAATGGTATTTCTAGTTCTAGATCCCTGAGGAATCGCCACACTGACTTCTGCTCACCAATATCCACTGTTCTGCAGCCTCTGCTGCTGATACCTAGGCAAACAGGGTCTGGAGTAGACCTCCAGCAAACTCCAACAGACCTGCAGCTGAGGGTCCTGACTGTTAGAAGGAAAACTAACAAACAGAAAGGACATCCACACCAAAACCCCATCTGTACATCACCATCATCAAAGATCAAAGGTAGATAAAACCACAAAGGTGGGGAGAAACCAGAGCAGGAAAGCTGAAAATTCTAAAAATAAGAGCGCCTCTTCTCCTCCAGAGGACTGCAGCTCCTCGCCAGCAATGGAACAAAGCTAAATGGAGAATGACTCTGATGAGTTGAGAGAAGAAGGCTACAGACGATCGGTAATAACAAACTTCTCTGAGCTAAAGAAGGATGTTCGAACCCATCGCAAGGAAGCTAAAAACCTTGAAAAAAGATTAGATGAATGGCTAACTAGAATAAACAGTGTAGAGAAGTCCTTAAATGAGCCAATGGAGCTGAAAACCATAGCACGAGAACTACGTGACACATGCACAAGCTTCAGTAGCCGATTTGATCAAGTGGAAGAAAGGGTATCAGTGATTGAAGATCAAATGAATGAAATGAAGTGAGAAGAGAAGTTTAGAGAAAAAAAAGAATAAAAAGAAATGAACAAAGCCTCCAAGAAATATGGGACTATGTGAAAAGACCAAATCTACATCAGGTTGGTGTATCTGAAAGTGATGGGGAGAATGGAACCAAGTTGGAAAACACTCTTCAGGATATTATCCAGAACTTTCCCAACCTAGCGAGGCAGGCCAACATTCAAATTCAGGAAATACAGAGAATGCCACAAAGATACTCCTCGAGAAGAGCAACTCCAAGACACATAATTGTCAGATTCACCAAAATTGAAATGCAGGAAAAAATGTTAAGGGCAGCCAGAAAGAAAGGTCAGGTTACCCAAAAGGGGAAGCCCTTCAGACTAATAGCGGATCTCTCGGCAGAAATGCTACAAGCCAGAAGAGAGTGGGGGCCAATATTCAACATTCTTAAAGAAAAGAATTTTCAACCCAGAATTTTATATCCAGCCAAACTAAGCTTCATAAGTGAAGGAGAAATAAAATCCTTTACAGACAAGCAAGTGCTGAGAGATTTTGAAATATGGGATTTAAACTACACTTTAGAATAAGTAGAACTAAGAATCATATGTAGAAGATTCCATCCAACATACACAAATCTACAAATGTGGTGTACCCATTATGAGAATAAAGAAAAAAATATGATCATCTCAATAGGTGCAGAAAAAGCATTTGACAAAATACAAAATACTTTCATGATAAAAACTTCCAATAAGTTCAGTTTAGAAGAAATGTGCCTCAACACAATAAAGATTATATATGACAAACCCAAAGCTAACATCATACTCAAAGATGAAAAGATGAAAGCTTTTCCTCGAAGATTAGAAACAAGACAAAGATGCCCACTTTCCCAGTTTATTCAACATAGTACTAGAAGTTCTAGCCAGAGCAGTTAGTGAAAAGAAAGAAAGAAAAGTCCTCCAGATTGGAAAGGAAGAAGTTAAATTGTTTCTCTTTGCAGATGACATTATCATATTTATAGAAAACTGTAAATACTCCACTAAAAGTGTTAGAACTAATAAACTAATTCTGTAAAGTAACAAGATACAAAATTTACATAAAAATCAATATTTTCTATACACTAACACTGAACTATTTTAAAAATAAAGAAAATTCCATTTACAATAACTATATAAAAATAAAATATTTAGGAATAAATTTAACAAAGTAAAAGACCTGTACATGGAAAACTATAAAACAATGATCAAAAATTTTAAGAAGACAGAAATAAATGAAAAGATATCCTATGATCAAGGATTGGGAGAATTAATATTGTTCAAGGGTTCAAATTACCCAAAGTCATCTTCATTTTCAATGCAATCCTCATCAAAGTTCGAATGATATTTTTTGCAGATGTAGAAGAAACAATCCTAAAATTCGCATGGAATCACAAAAGACCCCAGACAGCCAAAGCAATCTTGAACAAAAATAATAAAGCTGGAAGTATCTACCTGACTTTAAAACATATGACAAAACTATAGTAATCAAAATAGCAAGGTACTGGCCTAAAAACAGAAACATAGACTAATGGAACAGAATAGTGATGCCTAAAATAAATTCTCACATTTATGGTCAATTGATTTTTAACATTCAACAAATGGCCAACAACACATAATGGGAAAAAGAGAGTCTGTTCAATAAATAGTGTTGCATTTCACCCCACAGAAGAATAAAATTAGACCCTTATCTCACATTATATTAAAAAATGAACTAAAAATGCATTAAAGACCAAATGTAATACCTAAAAATGTAAAACTTTTAGAAGGAAACATAGGGAAAATAAACTAGGACATTGGTCTGGGCAATTATTATTTTTTTAATATGACCTCAAAAGCAGAGAGACCAAAAGCAAAAATAGACAAATGGGCTTACATCAAACTAAAAGCCTTCTGCATAGGAAAGGAAGCAATCAACAGATTGAAGAGACAACCTACAGAGTGGGAGAAAGTATTGGTAAGCCATGCATCTTATAAAAAGTTCATATTTAAAAGATGTAAAGAACTTAAACAACTCAATAGCAAGAAAACAGCCCTTTTAAAAAATGTACAGAGGAGCTGAATGAACATTTCTCAAAAGAAGGCATGCAGTTGGCCAAGAGGCATAAAAAGTGCTCAATATCACTAATTGTCAGAGAAATGCACGTTAAAATCACAATGAGATATCATCTCACATGTGTTGGAGTAGCTATTATCAAAAAGACAAAAAGTGTGGGTTAGAATGTGGAGTAAAGGGAACTCTTGCACACTGTTGGTGGGAATGAAAATTAGTAGAGCCACTATGGAAAAAAGCATGGGAAGTTCCTCAAAAAATTAAAAATAGAACTACCATATGATCTAGCAATCTCAATACTGGGTATATATCCAAAGGAAATAAAATCAGTGTACTAAAGAGACATCTGCACCCTCATGTTTATTGCAGCACTATTTAGAATAGCCAAGATATGGAATCAACTTAAGTGTCAGTGGATAAAGAAACTGTGGTATGAATATACAATAAAATACTATTCAGCTTTACAAAGGAAGAAAATTTTGTCATTTGCAACAACGTGGATAAGCTTGGAATACATTATGTTAAGTTAAATAGGTCAGGCACCGAAAGACAAATACTGCATGATCTCATGCATATGTAGAATTTTAAAAACTTGAACTCACAGAATGGTGGTTAACAGTGGCTGAGGGTTGTGGGGTTAGAGAGATGTTGGTCAAAACATACAAAATTTCAAATAGGAGGAAGAAGTTCAAGGGATCTATTGTAGAATATAGTGACTATAGTTAAAACAATGTATTATTGAAAGCTGCTCTGAGAGTATGTTTTAAGTGTCCTTACCACAAAAATTGATAAGTTGTGAGATAATGCTTATGTTATATAGCTTTATTTAACCATTCCACATTTATACACATTTTGAGACATCATGATATACATGATAAATATGTACAATTTTTATTTATTAAAAAAGAAAAAATAGGCTGGGCACATTGGCTTATGCCTGTGACCCCAACACTTTGGGAGGCTGAGGCCAGCAGATATCTTGAGGTCAGGAGTTAGGCCAACATAGCAAAACTCCATCTCTACTAAAAATACAAAAATTAGCCAGGTGTGGTGGTGTGCTCCTGTGGTCCCAGCTACTTGGGAGGCTGGGGTAGCAGGATCATCACTTGAGCCCAGGAGACAAAGGTTGCATTGAGCCAAGATCTTGCCACTGCACTCCAGCTTGGACTACAGAGAGACACTCTGTCTCAAAAAAAAATAAAAGAACATTGCTAAGATAATGCAGAGTTGTTGAAAAATTTTACCTCTGAAATAATGTTGCTATATTCAAGTCCTAACTTCACTTCTTCCTAACCTTGAGACCTATAGCTCAGCTTCCTAGGTTTTTATCAGTTTCCAACTGTAACACAGAGGTAATAATAGTACCTCCACATAGGATTGTAAGGATTAAATGAAATAATTTATAACATGCTAAACAGAGTGACTGGCGCAGAGTTAGCTGTCTATAAATGTAACTTATGATAATTTTTAGGAAGCATAAACGAGATTTCTAAATACATGTTCTATCTACTATCATCACGACTTTAGCACACTGCTTACATAAGTGAAGTTTTCAAATGTATCCAGGTATTTATGTTCAGTTATATTATACATACTTTATTAATATTTGCATTTCCAGTACTTGCATAGTTCCTACTATTATATGTAGTAGGCAAGAAAAATGTTCTTTATCTGATGATCACATAAATTAATGATTTAATGGATAAATAAAAACATATGAACAGCTAATTGAAATTATAATGTAAATAGCTAAACCCTAATTGCCTTAAAAATATTATTTTATTCATTAATTTCTATAAAACTAACCATTATTTTAAAAATATTTATTAAGATTAAAATGGAATAAAGTATACTTAACCTGGAATTTATAAACATTAGTCATAGAAGTTCCACTGTTCCCAGACATTGTCCTGAAAGTTATGAATTCCAGTGAATCCTCCTTTCTTGTCTTTGTCCCTACACATGTCTTCTAAACAGATTTGTACCATCAGAGTAGGAAGAAAAGGGAAAGACATATGATGTAAAGTAATATGTTATTTATTTGGCATCCCTTCTCTCTAAATCTATATTCCTGGCACAGTTATGAGTTGTGGTGTACTACCACCAACCCACAGGTAAGCAGCAATTCTCATTTGGTGAACCAGAGCCCTTTGCAAGACATTTCTGAAAGTGCTAATGGGAAGGCTATTTCCTGCCTGGGAGACATAATGCTGGCAGGATGTGAATTTGGGGCTTTCAGAGCCAACTTCTCTGGACACATGAAGGAAGCCCATATGTCCTAGGAAAGAAGCAGGTCAGCCTTTAGAAGGAAACAGATTCAAGCAATTGAGAGTAAAAGAGAAACTTAGTAACTTTATTTGAAACACTGGATGGAGATTTGTTTGAAACCACTTCCTACACCTCCTCCAGAAGCTTCCCACTTACAGTGGCCAATATATGTATTTTTTTAAGTTCAAGTTTATTTGAGTTGTATTTTTGCCACTTTTCTACAGCATGTGTCCTGATTAATTTAGCTATGGAAAAAATTGAGATAACTTTTATTTTAATCATTTCCTAATGTCCAAGAAAAGGAAATTAAAAATTAAAAGGGAATCCATGAACTAGAATTAAGATATTTTCTTGTTTTTTTAACTACTCATACATTTATAAAATATTTATTGAGCACTTACTATAAGCTGGACAGTTTTTCCTAGTTGGTTAGAAGGGATCAATATACCAAACAGGCAAAGATCCTTGCCTTTATAGAACTTATATTCCAATGGGAAGAGAAAAAAGCATAATTATTATGTAGATTGTTTAAAAGTCATACCTCTGGCAGGATGTGAGTAAATTGATACGGGAGGGAAAAAGTAGGACAGGATAGGATGTGTATGTATTGCAGAGGCTAAGGAAGAAATTTTGCATAAAGTAGTCAGGTTGGGCCTATTTGAGAATATGGGACTTGAGTAAATCTTTGAAGGAGGCGAAGGTGAAGAGTTCTCCAACTGTAGGGCAGCCAGTGTAAGGACCCCAAGGTTAAAGCATACCTGGAATATCTAAGAAACAAAGGGAGTCCAGCATGAAGGAAAATAGGGAGAAGTTGCCAACAAGGTGATGCAGGATCATCTCCCAGAAGTCTTTGAGGTCCATTTTAATTTTGTTCTAAATGAAATGAGAATTTATTGAGAATTTTGAGTTGAGGGGTGGCATCATATGACTTTTGATTTGAAAGTATATTCTGCTGCCCTTTGAGACTAGTTATTGGGCACATGAAGGGGCAAAAACAGAACAAGGGAGGCAAGGTAGAAAGATATTGCAAGGATCCAGGTGAGAGATATTGGTAACTTGTCCAAAGCGAAAGTGGTGAAGGTAGTATATGATCACTATTTAGCGTGTATATTTTGAATGTAGAGCTTACAGTATTTTCTTCCAGATCTGACATGGGGTGTGAGAGACAGAGAGGAGATAAGAATGATGCCAAGATTTCTGCTAGGATGAAAAAGGCTGCAGAAGGAATTTTGGGTAAAAGATAAAGAGTTTAATTTTGGATGTGTTACGTTTGACATGCTCAACAGACTCACAAGTGGAGATGTTCAGTAGACACACTTTAATATGAGAGTCTGAGTTTCAGAAGCTAGATCTGAAAACATAAAAGGAATTCTGAATTACAGATGGGTTTTTTGTTTGTTTGTTTGTTTTTGCTTTTTTTTTCAGACAGTCTTGCTCTTGTCACCAAGGCTGGAGTGCAATGGCAGGATCTCGGCTCACTGCAACATCTGCCTCCTGGGTTCAAGCGATTTTCCTGCCTCAGCCTCCTGAGTAGCTGGGATTACAGGTACCCGCCACCATGCCTGGCTAATTTTTGTATGTTTAGTAGAGACAGGGTTTTGCCATGTTGGCCAGGCTGGTCTCGAACTCCTGACCTTGTGATCTGTCTCCTTCAGCCTCCCAAAGTGCTGAGATTATAGGCATGAGCCACTGTGCCCAGCCACAGATGGGTTTTATGTCATGAGACTGGCTAAGATCTCCAAGGAGATAACATCGATGGGTAAGTGAAGAGGACAAAGGACTGAGCCTGGGGTATTCCACATCAAGAGTTAAGGTAGAAGAGAGGGGCCTAACAAAGGAAAATGAAAAGTGACGGTTGAGCTAGAAAAGATGCAAAATATGCATTATATCCATTCTATCTGAGAAGCCACATGGAGAAAGTGTATTAAGGAGAAGGGAAGGATGAACCCAGTCAAAAACTGATGAGAAATCAAGTAAATTGAGAACTGAAAATGGAGCATTAGATTTAATAATGCAATTGTCATCTGGTGACCTTGATAAAAGTATTTTTGTAGCATATCAGGCAGGGAATGGCAAGAACATAATCACAGTAGTAGCAAAGAAACGGAGAAGAGGCATTTGAAACAATGATACAGATAACAGATTTAGGTAGTTTCCTGCACAGGGAGCAAAGGCATGGAGTAATAGCTGGCAAGTCAAGAGAGGATTGGGTGATTTTCATTTGTTTGTTTTCTTTTCTTTCTGAATTTCCATATAAATATATATGGGAATATATATCCCATATATTTCTGATGGAATGACCTGATAAAGAAAAGGACAATTGATGATGTGAGAGAGAAAGAAGGAAGAGAAATGTTGGAGTGATGGCCTTGATTATGAGTGAGAAAAGATGGCCCTATTGCAAAAGTTGAAGAGTTTACTTTATATGGGAACATGGATAATCAATTGTTGGTAAAAGGTGAAAATGCAGAGTAAGTGAATCTAGATTCAAGTAAGTAGGTAGATGTGGGGATGGGAGTCTGTAAAAGCCTCAGTATTTTCAACGAATTAGGTGACAAGGTTAACTGAGAATAAGAATGTGAGAGGAGGAGGAGGTATTGGGATTTTCTGTGAGAGAGGAGGATCATAAAAAGTCACTTAATAAAGAAAAGAGAGCTAATAGGTAGTCTAAGTGGAGTACAGTTGTTGAGCATTGTTAGGTGTTGATTTGAGACCCATGGTCATGTATTTAATGAGGCCATTAGCTAGGTTTTGTGTTTTGTTCCAACTACCTACCTCTTTATGAACATAGGCACAGATAGAACAGGATTATAATTTTACCAGATAAATACCATAAAGTGAGATAGGGGCAGAGAATTATGTGTATGCAACATAGTAATTATAATTGACTATTCAATTTATTTAGGAAAGGAGAGGGGAAAGGATGTGAAAGTATAAAGGACAGTTAAATTTTATAGGATTAATGAATTGGGGGCAACTGTAGGTCAAGGATAGTTGTAAGTCAATGACTAGAGTGAGTGAGTTAGAAAGAGGAGAGGCAGTGCTTTCTAAGAGCACTCAGAGGACAACACATGTGTTGAAGATAATAGAAGGGTATCAGGTATTGATGGTTGTAAGGCCTAAGATGTATGACCATAGGAACGAGTGGCTGAGCTGTGGTGGGAAGCAAGAGCATTGGAGGAAAGGATGTTAAGGAAGTGGCAGGTGAAGATACTGAAAGTATCATTTCCATGTACTTTGAAATTCCAAAGAATTAAGGCAGAAGTACTAACAGCAAGAATGACAAGAAGTGAGAAACTAAAATCATTGAAACATAAGGGGAAATGAGCATCATGAAAGAGGAGAATAATGCATAGTTCCAAAGGACCCCATATCTCTGGGACCATCTGTGAGAAATGCTCTATCAGAGAACAATGATTTATGGGCTAGATTAAAGAACAATTACTAAATGACATTATATCTAAGTCTCAGATTCTATGAGGATTCTCGATTTGGATAAATTAATTTGGAAAAAAATTGATTATCTGTGGATAATTGGACTGGACACATATTGAACCCACAACTTCTGCCCTGATTTCAGGATTCCCTGTGTGGTTTGTAGGGACTTGATGATATAATGTCAGGTTCAAGGACTGAATTGTCATACATACTGATGGCTAATGATGAATAATGCCTGCATTAGTCCATTAGGATTTCTTTTTTGTTGTTGTTCTTCCTCTTTTTTTTCCAGTTTGAGAGAATGCCACCTACTGTTAGTCATCATGAGCTGACAGGAAAAGTAGTTAGGAATATGGATTGTTTGGTCCAATTAGCTAATTTAGATGATATAATTCATAACATGAAAAATAATCACAAAACAGGTGTGTAATCAAGAGAAACTATTTTTCTAACAGAGTTCAATTTTTTTCACGAGTTTTCATTTCTACATGGCAGTGAAAACTTTAATGTCAACACCTTCAGTTATATTAGTCTCAGTCAGTTGCTTTTTTCTTTTTTCCTAAAAAATTAAGTACTATTGAGTTGCTTCCAAGATGGCCGAATAGGAACAGCTCCAGTCTGCAGCCTTAGCAAGATTAACACAGAAGATGGGTGATTTCTGCATTTCTAACTGAGGTACCTGATTCGTCTCATTAGGACTGGTTGGACAGTGGATTCAGCCTATGGAGGGTGAGCTGAAGCAATGTGGGGCATCACCTCACCTGGGAAACACAAGGGGTTGGGGGATTTCCCTTTCCTTGCCAATGGAAGCCGTGACAGACTGTACCTGGAAAAATGGTAAACTTCCACCCAAATACTGCACTTTTCCCACAGTCTTAGCAACCGGCAGACTAGGAGATTCCCTCCCATGCCTGGCTGGGCTGGTCCCATGCCTACGGAGCCTTGCTCACTGCTAGCGCAGCAGTCTGAGATGACCTGCAAGGCTGCAGCCTGGCGGGGGAGTGGGGCATCTGCCATTGCTGAGGCTTGAGTAGGTAAACAAAGTGGCCAGGAAGCTCGAACTGGGCAGAGCCCACTGCAGCTCAGCAAGGCCTACTGCCTCTATAGACTACACGTCTGTTGGCAGGGCATAGCTAAACAAAAGTCAGCAGACAACTTCTGCAGACTTAAATGTCCCTGTCTGACAGCTCTGAAAAGAGCAGTGCTTCTCCCAGCACTGCGTCTGAGCTCTGAGAACAGACAGACTGCCTCCTCAAATGGGTCCCTGACCCCCGTGTAGCCTGACTGGGCAATACCTCCCAGCAGGGGCTGATAGACACCTCATAGAGGTGGGTGCCCCTCTGGGATGAAGCTTCCAGAGGAAGGATCAGGCAGCAATATTTGCTGTTCTGCAAAATTTGCTGCTCTGCAGCCTCCACTGGTGATACCCAGGCAAACAGGGTCTGGAGTGAACCTCCAGCAAACTCCAACAGACCTGCAGCTGAGGGGCCTGACTGTTAGAAGGAAAACTAACAAACGGAAAGGAATAGCCTCAACATCAACAAAAAGGACATCCACACCAAAACCCCATCAGTAGGTCACCAACATCAAAGGCCAAAGGTAGATAAGACCACAAAGATGGAGAGAAACCAGAGCAGAAAAGGCGAAAATTCCAAAAACCAGAGCACCTCTTCTCCTCTAAAGGATCGCAGATGCTTGCAAGCAAGGGGACAAAACTGGACAGAGAATGAGTTTGATGAGTTGACAGAAGTAGGCTTCAGAAGGTCAGTAATAACAAACTTCTCCAAGGTGAAGGAGCATGTTCTAACCCATTGCAAGGAAGTTAAAACCTTGATAAAAGATTAGACAAATGGCTAAGTAGAAGAAACAGTGTAGAGAAGACTTCAAATGACCTGATGGAGCTGAAAACCATAGCATGAGAACTTCGTGATGCATGCACAAGCTTCAATAGCTTATTCAATCAAGTAGAAGAAAAGACATCATTGAAGATCGAATTAATGAAATAAGGCAAGAAGACAAAATTAGAGGCAAAACAGTAAAAAGAAACAAAGACAGCCTCTGAGAAATATGGGAATAAGTGAAAAGATCAAATCTACCTTTGACTGGTGTACCTGAAAGAGACGGGGAGAATGAAACCAACTTAGAAAACGCTCTTTAGGATATTATCCAGGAGAAATTCCCCAACCTAGCAAGGCAGGCCAACATTCAAATTCAGGAAATACAGAGAACACCGCAAAGATACTCCTGGAGAAGAGCGACCCCAAAACACAATTGTCAGATGCACCAAGGGTGAAATGAAAGAAAAAATGTCAAGGGCAGCCAGAGAGAAAGGTCATGTTACCCACAAAGGGAAGCACATCAGACTAACAGCGGATCTCTCAGCAGAAACCCTACAAGCCAGAAGAGAATGGGGGCCAATATTCAACATTGTTGAAGAACAGAATTTTCTACCCAGAATTTCATATCCAGCCAAACTAAGCTTCATAAGTGAAAGAGAAATAAAATCCTTTACAGACAAGCAAATGCTGAGAGATTTTGCCACCAGGCCTGCCTTACAAGAGCTCCTGAAGGAAGCACTAAACATGGAAAGGATCAGCCAGTACCAGCTACTGCAAAAACATGCCAAATTGCAAAGATCATTGATGCTATGAAGAAACTGCATCAATTCACGGGCCAAATAACCAGCTAACATCATAATGACAGGATCAAATTCACACATAACAATATTAACCTTAAATGTAGATAGGCTAAAGGCCCCAATTAAAAGACATGGACTGGCAAATTGGATAAAGAATCAAGACCCATCAGTGTGCTGTATTCAAGAGACCCATCTCACATACAGAGACACACAGAGGCTCAAAATAACAGGATGGAGGAAGATCTACCATGCAAATGGAAAGCAAAAAAAAAAAAAAAAAAAGTAGAGTTTGCAATCCTTGTCTCTGATAAAACAGACTTTAAACTGAAAAAGATCAAAAGAGACAAAGAAGGCCATTACATAATGGTAAAGGGATCAATTCAACAAGAAGAGCTAACTATCCTAAATATATATGCACCCAATACAGGAGCACCCAGATTTATAAAGCAATTCCGTAGAGACCTACAAAGAGAATTAGACTCCCACGCAATAATAATGGGAGACATTAACACCCCACTGTCAATTAGACAGATCAAAGAGACAGAAGGTTAACAAGGATATCCAGGACTTGAGCTCAGCTCTGCACCAAGTGGACCTAATAGACTTCTACAGAATTCTCCACCCCAAATCAACAGAATAGACATTCTTCTCAGCACCATATTGCACTTATTCTAAAATTGATCACATAATTGGAAGTAAAACACTCCTCAGTAAATGTAAAAGAACTGAAATCACAACAAACTATCTCTCAGACCACAGTGCAATCAAATTAGAACTCAGGATTAAGAAACTCACTCAAAACCACTCACCTACATGGAAACTGAACAACCTGCTCCTGAATGACTACTGGGTACATAACAAAATGAAGGCAGAAATGAAGATGTTCTTTGAAACCAATGAGAAAAAGACACAACATACCAGAATCTCTGGGACACATTTAAAACAGTGTGTAGAGGAAAATTCATAGCACTAAATGCCCACAAGAGAAAGCAGGAAAGATCTAAAATCAACACCCTAATATCACAATTAAAAGAACTAGAGAAGCAAGAGCAAACACATTCAAAGGTAGCACAAGGCAAGAAATAACTAAGATCAGAGCAGAACTGAAGGAGATAGACACAAAAAAACCTTCAAAAAATCAATGAATCCAGGAGCTGGTTTTTGAAAAGATCAACAAAATAGATAGACTGCTAGCAAGACTAATAAAGAAGAAGAGAGAGAAGAATCAAATAGGCGCAATAAAAAATGATAAAGGGGATGTCACTGCCAATCCCAAAGAAATACAAACTACCATCAGAGAATACTATAAACACCTCTAGGCAAATAAACTAGAAAATCTAGAAGAAATGGATAAATTCCTCGAAACATACATCCTCCCAAGACTAAACCAGGAAGAAGTGGAATCTCTGAATAGATCAATAACAGGTTCTGAAATTGAGGCAATAATTAATAGCCTACCAACCAAAAAAAGTTCAAGACCAGATGGATTCATAGCCCAATTCCACCAGAGGTAAAAAGAGGAGTTGGTGCCATTCCTTCTGAAACTATTTCAATCAATACAAAAAGAGGGAATCCTCTCTAACTCATTTTATGAGGCCAGCATTATCCTGATACCAAAACCTCGCAGAGACACAACAAAAAAAGAGAAAATTTTGCACCAAAATTCCTGGTGAACATCGATGTGAAAATCCTCAATAAAATACTGGCAACCTGAATCCAGCAGTACGTCAAAAACTTATCCACCACAATCAAGTCGGCTTTATCCCTGGGAAGCAACGCTGGTTCAACATACGAAAATTAATAAATGTAATCCATCACATAAACAGAACCATTGACAAAAACTACATGATTATCTCAATAGATGCAGAAAAGGCCTTGGACAAAATTCGACAGCCCTTCACGCTAAAAACTCTCAATAAATTAGGTATTGATGGGACGTATCTCAAAATAATAAGAGCTATCTATGACAAACCCACAGCCAATATCATACTGAATGGGCAAAAACTGGAAGCATTCCCTTTGAAAACTGGCACGACAGGGATGCCCTCTCTCACCACTCCTATTCCACACAGTGTTGGAAGTTCTGGCCAGGGCAATCAGGCAGGAGAAGGAAATAAAGGGTATTCAAGTAGGAAAAGAGGAAGTCAAATTGTTCCTGTTTGCAGATGACATGATTGTATATTTATAAAACCCCATTATCTCAGCCCAAAATCTCCTTAAGCTGATAAGCAACTTCAGCAGTCTCAGGATACAAAATCAATGTGCAAAAATCACAAGAATTCCTATACACCAATAACAGATAAACAGAGAGCCAAATCATGAGTGAAGTCCCATTCACAACTGCTACAAAGAGAATGAAATACCTAGGAATACAACTTACAAGGGATGTGAAGGACCTCTTCAAGGAGAACTACAAACCACTGCTCAATGAAATAAAAGAGGACACAAACAAATGGAAGAACATTCCATGCTCATGGGTAGGAAGAATCAATATCATGAAAATGGCCATACTGCCCAAGGTAATTTATAGATTCAATGCCATTGCCATCAAGCTATCAATGACTCTCTTCACACAGTTGGAAAAAACTACTTTAAAGTTCATATGGAACCAAAAAAGAGCCCACATTGTCAAGACAATCCTAAGCAAAAAGAAGAAAGCTGGAGGCATCATGCTACCTGACTTCAAACTATACTACAAGGCTACAGTAACCAAAACAGCATGGTACTGGTACCACAACAGATATATAGACCAATGGAACAGAACAGAGGCCTCAGAAATAGCACCACACATCCACAACCATCTGATCTTTGACAAAGCTGACAAAACAAGAAATGGGTAAAGGATTCCCTGTTTAATAAAGAAAACTGGCTAGCCATATGTAGAAAGCTGAAACTGGATCCCTTCCTTACACCTTACACAAAAATTAACTCAAGATTGCTTAAAGACTTAAATGTAAGACCTAAAACCATAAAAACCCTAGAAGAAAACCTAGACAATACCATTCAGGACATAGGCACCATGGGCAAAGACTTCATGACTAAAACACCAAAAGCAATGGCAACAAAAGCCAAAATAGGTAAATGAAATCTAATTAAACTAAAGAGCTTCTGCACTGCAAAAGAAACTATCATCAGAGTGAACAGGCAACCTACAGAATGGGAGAAAATTTTTGCAATCTACCCATCTGACAAAGGGCTAATATCCAGAATCTACAAAGAACTTAAACAAATTTACAAGAAAAAACAACCCCATAAAAAATGGCAAAGGATATGAACCAACACTTCTCAAAAGAAGACATTTATGCAGCCTACAGACACATGAAAAAATGCTCATCATCACTGGTCATCAGGGAAATGCAAATCAAAACCACAATGAGATACCATCTCATGACAGTTAAAATGGTGATCATTAAGAAGTCAGGAAACAACAGATTCTGGAGAGGATGTGGAGAAATAGGAACACTTTTACACTGGTGGTGGGAGTGTAAATTAGTTCAACCATTGTGGAAGACAGTGTGGAGATTCCTCAAGGATCTAGAACTAGAAATACCATTTGACCCAGCCATCCCATTACTGGGTATATACCCAGAGGATTATAAATCATTCTACTATAAAGACACACACACACACACGTATGTTTATTGTGGCACTATTCACAGTAGCAAAGACTTGGAACCAACCCAAATGTCCATCAATGATAGACTAGATTAAGAAAATATGGCACATATACATCATGGAATACTATGCAGCCATAAAAAAGGAGGAGTTCATGTCCTTTGCAGGGACATGGATGAAGCTGGAAACCATCATTCTCAGTAAACTATCACAAGGACAGAAAAGCAAACACTGCATGTTCTCACTCTTAGGTGGGAATTGAACAGTGAGAACACATGGACACAGGGTGGTGAACGTCACACCGTGTCGGGGGCTGGGGGGCTAGGGGAGGGATAGCATTAGGAGAAATACCTAATGTAAATGACGAGTTGATGGGTGCAGCAAACCAATATGGCACATGTATACCTATGTAACAAACCTGCACATTGTGCGCATGTACCCTAGAATTTAAAGTATAATAAAAAATATTAAGTACTATTTTCTCATTTACTACTCAGTTCTAAGTCACTATTTCCGTGTTGCCTTTGCCCTTCCTTCTGGTTTTGTAACACCCATGTGGAATTTGCATGTCACTAGAGAAAGGTGTTGAAAGAGAACAGGGCATGTGCATGGTTTCTGGCATTGGTGACTACTGTTGCTGGCTATTAAGGTAACTAAAGGAATTAGTGCCTGAGATAGGGTAAAAGAGAAGATCATTAGAGGAGGGCACATCAAATCGCTGGAAGACTAAATATTAGAAGAATTCTCTACATGTATGTCAAAACAGCAAATAATTAAATATATTAATTATTTAGAAAAAAATAATAGCACGGGCAGAATATGTAGCTGGCTTGGCTATCTGGGACTCCTATGCCTTCCTGGCATATAGATGATTCTACAGAGGTTTATAAACCTTTGTTGCTATCCCAGGGAAGTGGTATATTTTATAGTCTCTGCTCCTGGGTTACCCTTTCTTTGTTTGATGGCCATTCAGGAAATCTGAACTGACATTCATCAAGCCAGCTTATGTTTTCTGAAAATGCCTGTAGTTTAGTCTGGGTCCCAGGAATAGAACTAGAAGTAAGATAAAAAGAAAGAGAATGTACTAAAGCCTAAAACTAATAGTATGGTTCCTGGATAGCATATCCTATGGATTTAGTAGTTTAATTTAAGCTGGGTGGTGCATCCATTTCAAACTACACCCTTTATTTTTTTACTCAGATTGGGATATAAGCTTTTTAGGAGCCCCAGACAGCCTAAGAAAACAGCTGCTTTAGATAATCTTGTTTGTGATGAGTTTTGAAAATGCAAGAAGAGAGAATACTTAAGGTACTGTATCATCTGGAAGACATACATAGCTACAACAACATACAAGTGTCACTTCCACCACACTTCTGAAAACAGGTGGGACATAAATTTCTGATAGAATATGGCAACAGATTCTTCCTAATTTTCTGCCTTCTCTCATTCACATGCCCTGTTCCATGAAAGATAATTAAATATTTATTTCAGGCTAAATGAGCACTTACAATAATTTTGATAAAACTATGCCTAGATATCTAAACTACCCATCAATTTGACTTGTCAGTATCAGAGTAACACTAGGACAAACTGTCGACAAGCAAGTAGCGTAGGAACCATGGATGCTGAAACAGAGCTAAAGCCAGCTGTCTTTTACCTTGTTCAGGATGTGATAGAGAAAACCTCTGAGAATCTGTAACTTACTGCTAATGTGGGGTCTAGGAAGGCCTGGGAGGTGCATTCTATCAGATATGATAGGGAAAAGAAATCTGTGGTATTCATTACTCAGTCTCCTTGACAACGAGACCAGATGCCCCATTCATAAACTATGATACTATTTACTTAATATGACTTTCAGTGATACACTTTAGGCGGTTGTGTATTATGTACTTATAAGTATGTACTTATTCAGGTGTGATCTTATAATTCCCTCACATGGTTATGGGTACTAAACTGCTTACTAAGGGTGGAAATGTATGGAAGCTGTATTACTGACCTATGACATTAGAAACTCCAGCATTACTTTCTGTACCTTCATCATAATAAAAGGGCAAAGACCCTTGTTGCCCATTTTTCCTGCTCTGGGGTAGATTAAAAGGTAACCTACTTAAAAGATTAAAAGGTGATTATGACAGATAATGCCAATTAGTACTCACTTTCTCTCCCCTTCTTCCTTTGTAATAGAACCTTCAATAGAACATGACCATTCAACTGAAGACTTCATTACCCTCCATTTCCTGATGTTACATATGGCTATACAGTTAAGTTTCTACCAAAAGACTTTGAGCATACACAGTGAGTACCATTTCTTGGCCCTGCCTTTAAAGAACATATATATAATTCACTTGCCTTGCTCTCCGTTCCCTGTTTAGGAAGAATGTTATGATGACATGAACTGAAGCAACAATTTTAGACTGTGAGATGAAATCCACATGTTTAAGATGGCAGAACAGCAAACCAGAAGGAGCCTGGATCTGCAGTGACAGCCCTGGATTCTTAGGCTTGTACTGATGTATGGGGAAGAAACAAACTTCTGCTTATTTAAGCTATAATGTGTTATTTTGATGTTAGATTCAATAAATAAACTGGTCATCTGAATATTATAGCAGCAAGTGGCTGCTTTCTAGAGTATGTTTGAAAGGCTAATTTAGTGGGAACTCTTGTTACTCATGTAAAAATATCATCATGACACTCATGAGACACAGAATTTGGTAGTTTCATAAGAACATAAACTAACAATTATTTTAAAAGTAGTTTCATATTTGAATGTGGAGCCAGCCAAGCATGGTGGCGCGTACCTGTAGTCCCAACTACTTGAGAGGCTGAGGTGGGAGGATTGCATGAGGCCAGGAGTTTGAGGCTGCAGTGGGCTATATTCATGTCAGTGAATAGCCACTGCACTCCAGCCTGGTCAATAGGGCAAGACCCTGTCTCTACACAAAATAATAATAAGAAAAAAAGAAATTGGAATCATTGCTATCCTTGTGTATGAAGTGTACTTGTATACCAGATATTCAAGGGTGAGGAAGTCAAGCTGATGCATGGGGTCATCTTCTTTCTACTTTTGCCCATTTTCAGGGTAGTGTGTGGGGAGAACAAGAAAACCCAGGACTGAATTAACCAAGAGAAATCCAAAACAAGTAAAGGGAACCTCACTCTATCCTTTACAGAAAACAGAAGAAAGGAAAAGTTACTCTGACTCTTAGAGGGTGACTCTAACAGTTGTGAGTAGGAGTAAGAATCCCATAACACTAACAGAAGGAGGCCCTGAACTCTCTTCCGTATATCTTAATATGGACACTTCAGCATTTGAATCTGCGGAGGAACCTGGTCCATTTGGGTGGGATACACATTCAGTCATTTATTCAGTTATCATTTAAGTCTCTACCTAATAAAGAATCTAAACCAATAAATAAGAATTCATGTCTTATTACTTGTCTGTACTGTTGGCTGAGCTTAGGAGCTGTTGATTAAAAAAAAATGTTGTATTGGCCAGACGTGGTGGCTCACACCTGTAATCCCAGCACTTTGGGAGGCCGAGGTGGGCAGATCACAAGATCAGGAGATCGAGACTATCCTGGCTAACACGGTGAAATCCCGTCTCTACTAAAAATACAAAAAATTAGCCGGGTGTGGTGGTGGGCACCTGTAGTCCCAGCTACTCAGGAGGCTGAGGCAGGAGAATGGCGTGAACCCGGGAGGCAGAGCTTGCAGTGAGCCAAGATTGTGCCACTGCACTCCAGCCTGGGCGATAGAGCGAGACTCCGTCTCAAAAAAAAAAAAAATGTTGTATCACCTCCACCTCATAAAGCCTATATTCTAGAACCTAACTGTAGGCTGTAAAGATTAGAGAGTTTATAATTTATTATGTAAGTGTTACATTGCTCCCCTTAAATGAAAGACAATTTCTAGTTCACATGCATTTATTGTTCATAAATTTGTCCATTTTTTTTGGAGATCAATCAAGAACTCTCCTTTTTTTTTGGAAAATAGTGAGAATTTGTATATTTCTTATGCTTTATTTATTTTATTGAAATTCTGCCCACCTTTCTAAATACCCCTCTGTTAAAGGAATTTACTCTGCAGTTGGGAACTTCAGTAGTGAATTTATATTCATACTATTTTATGCTAAACTAAAAATTTTGACAGTCACTAATGGTACAGTAATGAAATAATAATAGGTCCAATTTTCTGGTTATACAAAGGGAGAAAATTGTTCTACTTCTTGAAAGTGTTGAGCTAATTGGAGAAGATAGTTGGGGGTAATCAAAATGGTTCATTCTGATAAGAAGGTAGCTGCAGTAATTTTATTTTTCTTTTGCATATTGATTATCTCTATCTCTATGGTAATTAGTGAGATCAAATACTCATTTAATAATTAATTGCATTTCATCATTTAATAAAAATCTTTTCAGGCACTGATCACAAGGAAATTCTATAATGAATTATTTCACATTAACTCTAAACTCATTGGGCTATTTAGTTTATGTAACATCAAGTAAGCTACTATTAACTTTGGGTGAGAGCTGGACACAATGGCTCGCTTCTGTAATCTCAATACTTTAGGAGGCAGAGGTATGAGAATTGCTTGAGGCCAAGAGTTTAAACAAGCCTGGGCAACATAGTAAGACCTCATTTTTACTGGAAATTGTAAAAATTAGCTTAGTGTGGTGGTGTACATCTGTAGTCCCAGCTACTTGGGAGGCTGGGGTGGGTGGGTGGCTTGAGCCCAGGAGTCTGAGACTGCAGTTTGTTGTGACTGTGGCACTGCACTCTAGCCTGGGAGAAAGAAGGGGATCCCTATCTCTAAAGAAAGAAAACAACAACTTAAAATAGGATGTAAATGGAAAGAAATCCCTCTAAGGGGTTTAGATAAACTGATAAGAGGCAAATTAGGATCTTTGTGTAAAAAATTATTATATTTTGGAAAAAACCATATAATTCACCAAGTCCCTCATTTTATATCTGCTTCATTTTACAGGGGGCAGACTGTACATAGTTGAAAAGAAATTACCTTCTCCAGATCATAAGTGAGTAAGATTTCATAAGATAGATCTGGATATGTTTTGACAGTTTGATAGTATTACTGCAAGTTAATTATCCCAAAGTTATTTCTATTATTAGAGTAAGAATTCTGAGTTGACTTATTTCCTCTTGTCTTACATAGTTTGAAATTTTTTTATTATTGGTTCTACATAATTAACCAATAGTTGGTCTTTCTTGAAGAGGTCACTGGAAATTGATTTTTATATCTGAAATTTTAATCCACTTTTGAAAATGTGGAAACTACATCATAGAGAGATTAAATAGCTTTCTTAAGGTCATATCTAGCTGAAGCTAGAATTCAAAAATTAGTTTTCTGAATTTAAACATTTACTATTTTGGGGATATTCTGTAAATGTAGAAGTCAAGAACCTAATATATTTGCAGGATAGATTGTGATTCACAGTTTATTTTTTCTTCATTTTAAGTCTTATACTTTATATATATGGTGATTATATTGGAACTGGATAGAGACCAGAGAAATTTTTAGTAGTTGTCAAAACTATCAAACATTTGCTCAAAACTAACCTATTTAGTTCTTACTATTAAAAAAGTGAACTAAAGAGGATTAAATAGCTGGACCATCCAGATTGGCATCCTCCATCTAAATTCTTAAACTCAAGAAGAATCTCCACCAGATTTGGTTTAGTGTCGATATTATTTATTTTCAAAAGATGCTATCTGTTGGGGTAGTGAGAATAATCATACTGGCATTTCTACACAGCAGTTATTTTTGGCATGTGGTAGATGCCAGAAAACTACATGTTACTTGGAGTGAGGGCTATTACAAGTTCTGATATAATCAGATAGATTTAAGTTCTACTGGCTCTATTATTAATTGCTTTGTGCACTTGAGTAAGTAAAGAAATGTCTCTAATCCTACAGATTTGGGAATGGTAATATTCTTAAAGTGTTACTCTGAAATGGTCCATTCCAAAGTCTGATTGATGGTAGGTGACCTCTATATTCTTATTTCCTTTGGTAGAACTTGAAACTAAACATGGTGGGGCAAATAGGGATTAAAAGGCAATGAAGAATTAATTTATCTATTTTCACCAAAATGCCTTTGTTGCTTGTTGTTATTTTATCCTAATTGCACAGCTATTGTAGAATTTTATTAATTCAATTCTTAGCCTCAGAAAGGTTGGGATTCTTTCCCTGGCTTTGGCCCTCTCCAGTGAGTGTTATTCAGTTGTACTGGGTCTCAGTTTCTTCAATTGTGGATGGGGAAATATCTTCCTTATAGTGTTATCTTAAGGTTTAACTAAGACTAAATGTCATAACAATAGTGAAAACAATTTTTCAATTATATAGTGCAATATAAATGCACAGGCTGTTTTTTCACTTTTATTATTATGATTATTATTTCCAGTTCCTATGACTTTGGAGACCTATGAAAAGACACTTAACAAAAATTTACTAAACATTAACATGCCTGCTTTTTTTAATACAACCAAGTCGAAAAACCCCAAGGGAACGGGCTATAAAAAAAAACACAAAAGCAGAACTAATAAAAGCACTTGTGTTTTCTCTGAAATAAATATTTAATAATGTATACTATATTATAAAATCTGTAAAATTTTGAAAAAAGAGTAAGATAGTTAAGTTAAATCCTACCTTCTTTGCAATTCTATAATCAGCCCTTTTAAAATATGATAAATGTGACATTCTATTTAAGATCGCAAGTAGTCTGTTCAAAGAATTATCTTTCAGAGTTCTCACCTTGTTTTCCATAATTCCTAACAAAATCACATCTCCTATTTATGTGGAAACTATTTGCTCCAAATGCTATTTCTTCCTCTGATCTTATAATCAGGCTGAGATGTGCTCTTGCTAGTGTGTCACAGCAGTAACCACAACCAAGAGCTCAGAATTTCTAAACCTGATTAGTTTCTGCAATTTATATTTCATCTCTGAAATATCAGTCTTTAAATAGATTGAGAACTGTGCATGTTGAAATGAAATTTACACATTTAACAACTGAAGAAGATCGTTCGTTTTTTAAAGAAATTAATTCACTTCTAATGTAGGATGAAAGACTGTCTGAATCATTCATTAGTTTAACCTTTTCCATCTTCTAAAAATCAACCCATCCTTTACAGGACAATACTGAGAGAGTATAATTTCCCATACACCTAATAGTTAATCAAAATAGTTCCTTAAATATTTATTAGGAATTTTCACTTTAAACATTTGTTTTACCAGAGTACTAATATATGAGTATCAGACAAATCTAAAATAAATAAAATGTATTGAGTTAGTACTTTATGAGTCATTCTTTTGAAATTTCCCCTTAGCTATACAAGTTTTGGAAAAAAAGCTCTTCTAACTAACATTAAGACAGGACACCTTTTGCAAGCTTTTGTAAAAATAAAGAAAAAAACTAAAATCTTACATAAGTAAATATTTAAGATACAAAATATTTAAAGACAGAGAAAATCTGCCAGATGAACCCTCTGATGGAAGAGGCTTAATCCCTCTTCTAATCCCCAAGGGTTTAAGAGCCAAGCAATTGTACAAAATTGAAAACTGGACATCTGTCTCTATGACATGGTGGACATAGTGTCTGTGTGTGTGTCTCTCTCTGTGCGTGTGTGTGTCTGCCTGCATATGTGTGCACTTGCATGCATACATAGTTCTTGCATGTCCACCTCACTTCTATTACTTCTCATTTAACTAAGATTTGATAACAATATCATCAACCAAAATTGGGACAGGGTGTAGAAGGCTCTGAAAGTCAGATATTACTCTGTTTATTACCTGTGATATGGTTGGTAAGAAAAATGATGATGCTTTATAGAAATGGCAGTTTTTACTGTTTATTGATTTTAGTGTTAGATAATTCAAATTCACTTTTTGGACAAATTTTTGTCCAAAAATTTGAATGCAATCGATCCAGTTACTGATCACATTTTGTTAATGTTGCCCTTTACAACAAAAGCCTCTTCAAACCTCAGATTCAAAAGGTAATAAGATTATCCTTTGATAAAACATCTGAATTTTTAAATGTTTTTAATATTTTAATTTCAAATATTGCATTTAATATATAATATATAAAATTGAGTATGCATTGAGCCTGAACCAACAGCTAGAGTGCTTTAACCACTTTATATGTATTATTATATTTAATATTCACAGCAATTATATGCAAATGAGATTCATATTATACCTATTTTTCAGATGATGACACTGGGGCATCATCTGAAAGGAGATGATAAGTATAGAGAGGATAAGTACGTTGCTCAATATTGTTGCTTTGTGTGTGAAAATGTAGGTGATTGAGGCAGAAGTCAATTTGAGCCTAGATCTTCTAGTGCTCTTTAATTTGCCAATTTAAAGACACAAAGTTCTGTCTTTTTTGTCTCCATTATCTGTCTTCCTCATTTTTCAACTTCTCTGAAATTTGTTTAAAGTCCTTGTACTTTTCTTCTACATTGTTATAGAACATCTTAAATTTTTCTTTACATAACAAATTCAATATTCTGAATGTTACACCGTTTAATTTTCTTTGATGAATTCATGTTTTTCCTTACTTTAACAATTCTACTCATTTTAAATTACTTCATCAAGAGTGGAAAGCCCATATTTTCTCACACTTTTTTCTCTGAATCATCATCATCATTGTTGTCGTTGTCATTGTCATCATTACCCTGTTCCTTTGGTACTATACCTAGTCCATTATCCTCTGTGGAGAATTTGCTATATGTCTCATGGCTTCATGGGGAGGAAACTCCTACTTCTCTCATGGCTTGTCTATGCTTTCCAGAACTAACAACAAAAATTAATTCTGCATTCGCTGTGTTTGCCTGGTTTTTACTTCTTTTCTTGCAACACTGCTACAGTTCAGAGGAGTTCCCATAGTTAATCCAAAAACTATATAATTTCTGTAGATGTCACCAATTTCTAGTTGCAGTTATAATGTACTTTCTGCCCTATTATTGTTTCTATTTGGTAATTTTAGTAAGATTTCATATGACCGGCTAAGACATTTGTTTTTCTGTCCCCATTGCTTTCCTAAAGTCAAAGTTTCATGTCCTCTTAATGCTTATGAAGGGCGTAATTAGATTGTACTCGATTTTTTCCCTCACAATAGAGAAGTTTATGAAGGAGATAATACCAATACAGTCCCCTAGATTTCAAGTGATTTTTTCTCTTATATCTTTTTTTTAATACATTGAAATACATTAAACTGGTGCAAGTTATTGTTTAAATTTTACTATTCCAGACGAAGATAGCAGGAGTTGGGCTAGTTAGGCAAGGATAGGCTGCAGTAACAAATAGATCCAAATGTATAATTTGTCAACATAATAGAAATGTTTTGATTTCCCTCAGCAAGGTATATTGTGGTTGCAGTTTTCTGGGCAGGAGAGTGGGAAGGATGAAGAAACTATATTCAACACACTCATTTGAGACTTCATGCTGTGAGTAGCTCTGTTGTCTTTAACACATGGATTCCTAGATTCTTTAGACTGCTGTCAGTCAACACGGAGAGCAATAATGTGAGGCAGCACAGGAAAGTTTTAATGGCCAGGTCTGGAAGTGTCATATAGCACCATCTGCTCATATTACATAAACTTTAGCTGACTGAAAGAGAGTCTGGGAAATACCGTCTATCTGTGTTCCTAGAAAGAGGAAACATTTTGGCTTGGGGGGAATATCTAGCAGCATACTTTATTCCATATAGTTTTGTACTACCTAATTAGAAGCTTGTCACTTTCTATATGTGGCTTACATGTCCATGTGTGTAGTGTATATGCTCAGAACAAATGTTGCCTTGAGTTTCCTTTGTACTTGTAAGGAGAACCTCTTGCCTCTGTAGGGGATCTTTCCATGAGGACTCCACATAAGGAGATACTTTCCACGGATAATGGAAAGATATGAAACTACTCATCCCCAACTTCCAGAATCTGTTACTTCCAATGCTTTCATATTATGTATAATTGTGTTAGTTGCACTTCACTGGTGTCTGTGCTCTAACTTTTCTACGTAACTGTTCTTCCACAGCTTAGAGACTTGAGGACTAGTCTATTCTTTGCAAAGAAAAAGTTCTATAGTTAAGAAAATATTTAGAAACGTCTTGATTTTACCCTACAACAATTTTCAGGAATAATAGAATTTTCTAATTTACTAATGAATCATTTAAGTGGGACATCAAGCTGAGGGGTTAGTTATCTGTACTCCTTTTGCCTTTTTGACTAGAAAAAAGAAAGCAAAATAATATTTCATGCAACGGCTATTCTTGCTTCCTGAATTTGCATGTTGTGAAATACTTTATGAGTTGAAGAAAACAAGCAAAGCTTCCTGTATGTTGTGTTTATATTTTTATTTAGACACGTTATTTTGCTTAAATTAAGATAAATCTATTATGTTTAATATAATGGCAGAGAGTCATCATTTTGTCTTCTAAAGATATCAGAATGTTCATTATTGAAAAGATACGCTTATATAATTTCTAAAGAATTTAGGAGTCCTATGCTGCCATGCAAAAGCTGATGTTTTAATAGGCTATGGGAAGACTACCTCCACAGAGCAGGGAAAGTGAAAGGCTATGACATTGTTCATTGCAGATTTGTGAACTCTGCAGTTAAGGTTTATCAATTTCTTCTACCTGTATCTAGAGCATGCTCCTTTATGATAAATACCGAAGACTTAAAATGTGTAATGATGATTCAGATTCAACCTTGACAAAGTAAACTTCAAGGTGTTAGCTCATGATTTTTTGTTATTCTATTTTAAAAACACAAAAACGAGTAAACTTCAATCAAAAGGCCTCATGCTTTTGGTATGAATATGTATAGTACTTAAAATTTGTGTACTGCTTAATATCAGTTATAAAATGCTGAGATTAAAATAATTTAACTTTTTTTAACTCTAGGATTACTCAGAGGCTTTTGTTAGACATCAAGTATGTCTTATTTACCTGTCTTATTTGACCACTGTTTTATAACACAAATGCCAACATATCCCAAATAATTTTTTCACAGAACACTTTTTAGAAGTGCAGGCAAAGAACTTTAAGATATGCCAAAGCTGTAATTTACATTCCCATAGCTCTTTAACTTAAGGAATAGTGTTTTAACTAATTAAATTACCCGCCATTTTTCCTTGACATACTATTATTCATTTGAACATGCTTTCCAGATGTCAGGCATATATTGCATCCAAAGCCTTGGTGTCTTCTCATCCAATGGAGTGGGCATGCCTGCAAAGGAATCAGCTCACTGACCATCTTTAAGGTCAAAATTAAACTAATCCTGAATCATTTTACTTCTGTTATTTCACTGTATATCTTTTTTATTCTGTGAGCAGAAACCATAAAGAATGAGAATATTTTCATAGTAGCATGAACCTAATAGGCTAGGAGACAGCTTTAGGGCATTTTCTAACTGGCATAAAAAGTTTTCCTGTTCATTTCAACATCAAGTCTAAGAAATCTTCCTTTCATTTTAAATAACTTGGCTTTCTTAGGAGAGACTTGCATACCTAGACATTTGCAAAATCTGTATTTTTAGCAGACATTATATTTTTAACCTAATCTGAACCCATTTTCTTCTGAACAAGATAGGCATAAAGAATAAAAGATTCTAAAATATTGAGAGTATTTCAAGAAAGAAAAGAAAGAAGAGATATAAAATAGAAATCCAGATGCCATTTTAAATAGTGGTAAAATGTTTTGATCACAGATACTTACAGAACTCTTTTCAGGCTTATCATCATTTAGAGAGAATGAAGACAGCATCAATTAAGCCCCTCTTTGACCTCAGCAATTGCCACCCTATCATTTGAAGATGGTTAAAGAAAGACAAAGATATTAACTTATTAGCACTAATACAGCATGTTTTGTTCTATAAAGCTCATCCAAAAATAATAACAATCCTATGAAGCAGTTCATCTTATAAGAAGTTTAAAAGATAATAAAACAGAATGTCAGAAATGTAAAGGAACATTTAAGTTTGCACATTTAGGAAGGTCTTGAATCAAGATTTTCCCCTACAGTCATTCTTTTAGTCATTGCAATATATTATATTGTCAACACATTTGACAAGAGAATAAATGCATTTTAAAGAGTCAATTTAATTTAGAGATACCAAGTTTAAGTGAATGTGCCATAAGAAGTTACAACAACGTTGTGTTGGAAATGTAGGAAGGTAGAATTTCTACTCCATAAATAATGTAAGAGCAGAGATATTTTGAGTCTCTGTTCATCTGGAGTCCAGTTGGGAAGGATCTAGGAACCTAGAGAATGGAAAGAATCAATTACCTTCATTTACATGTATATAACATTTTTCCTAATGTAATACAGCATGTGCTTGCAAGTCAAAAAGGCGTATTTGATCCTTCAAGTAGGAGGTAGCTTTTAAAAAGGCATGTTTGAGTCTTATAACTACTATAAATTTGGTGTATATCCATGGAGAGTATGTTTAAACATTTTGAGCCTTTTTCTTCCTTTTGTTAGTAGTGATGATAATAATATCCAACTGTTATGTATCATTGTGAATAATCATATGGTGAGTTTTACATTACTTTAGATACTGTAAATTGCTGTCAATTATGGTTGATTTTATTAATAGCCATAACAGCCTAAAATGTCATGGTTTTATTAGTGCTGTTTACATTTTTTAGTATTTTATCCACAAATATTGTCTAATATGAACTTTGGAACTTTGTCTGACTCCAGGTTCTGCCACCTCTCAGCTGTGTGACCTTAATCAAGTCATTCAGTCTTTCTCAATTACAGATTCTTCATCTACAAAGAAGTCATAATAGTACTTTTAAATTTGATTCAATGTTCTACTTCCACTTAGGATGAAGAAAACTGCAAGAATATTACTCTCAAGCCTCTGAACAAGAAAAGCCAGCTGTTGGACGTGATAACTTTGAGCCTGTCAGAGAGCTGATGTTCTAAGGCAACTGGGTAGACTGAATCCCAAAGTGTAAGAAGTCCCTTCAAGGATTAAAAAGACAAATTCTTTTATTTTAGAGAGAGTATGGAAGGAGATGTGGCAGCCTTCAAAGCAATAGAAACAGAACAACTGAAATGTTTACAAATTCTTAAAGGTCAAATGAAGGCAGTATGACAGTTAAAAAAATCTGTGTGTCCCAGAAGGGTCTTTTCCATGGGCCACCACCAAATATTTATGAACAATTCAGGGCAGAGCAGGAGACCTGAGAAGGCACCTGTCACCTACCATAAACCAACAGTAGCACAGGTTTGCAGGGTGAAAATATTAGAGGGATAAATAATGACAGAACCTGGAAACTCCAGTCTAAGAAACAGGTATTGCATATGAACAAGGTGGTGATCTGTCACTGGAAGGTGACCTAGTGGGGAAAGTAGACTGCATGCACACACAGAAAATATAGGAAATCAATAAGGATATAGAAGGTTTAATTTTATAAACCAACTTGACCTAATTCATATTTATAGAACACTCACACAATAGCAAAATGCATATTATTTTCATATGCACTTGGACCATTCATTAAAAGAGAGCATATGATGAATAATAAAACACATTTCAAAAAGTGTAAAGTATTGAAGTAAATCATGGTATGTACTCTAACTAAAACAAAATTAAATTAGGAATCAATGCCAGATAGGAGGAAGACCCCAAATATTTTGAAATTATTTCACATTCTTCTTTGTATTGGATAAAGAAATCACAACTGAATGAAAATGAAAATATATCAAATTATGTTAAAACAGTGCTTCAGAGAAATTTACAGTTTTAAATGTTTTTAATAGAAAAGAAGAAACGTTCTCCAAAGAATGGTCTAAGTTGTCATTTTAAGGTGATCCCCAAAGCAGAAAACAATCAATAAAATGAAAAGCAGAGAAAAAGAAGAGAGCAATTCAAACAAAAAGTTGATTTTGAAGATATCAATGAAATTGATAGATTTCTAGTTAGTCTAAGATAAGCAAGCTTAGCAATTGTAGAGGTTTTAAGACAAATATGCATACAATTTTTGTATATCTATATACAAACAGTTATTGCTGAAAAAATTAAAGACCTAAATAACTTGAATCATTCACCTTGTTTATGGATCAGAAAACTCAGTATTGTGAAGATATCAGTTCTCTTCAAAGTTATCTACTGGTTCAGTGCATTCCCCAGTCTAAGTTACAGCAATCTATTTTCCTGGTAGAAACTGATTTTTATAATGACATTATAAATACAAAATTTAATTGATATTACAAATACAAAAGGTCCTAGAATTGGCAAGACAATTTTTCAAAAACAATAAAGCCAGAGGCATTCCATATGTATACATATTTCAAAACGTCATGTGGTACACAATAAGTACATGTTATTTATTGTCAATTTAAATTAATTAATTAAAAAGTATAAAGCTAGAGGACTCAAAATGTCTAATTTCAAAGCTATAGTTAAATAAACTACAGTCAACAAAGTACTATGATATTGGAATAAAAATAAATTTTAGGTCAGTGAGATATAGTGGTTTCTCTCTCTTTTTCTCTCTCTCTTTTTCTCTCTCTCTCTCTGCTTCACCCTCCTTTTATATATCCAATTAGGTTTAAACAAATATTCCAAGGTAATTCAAAAGGTAAAGAAAAATCTTTTTATACACCGTGCCGTGTAGCACATATCTATATGTAAATAAACTCAAACTTTACAACATATATTTTAAAAATTTACTGAGAAAAAACTGTAGTCCTACACAAAAACTAAACTATACAATTTCTAGAAGAAATTATTGAACAGATTATTTGTCACTATAGGTTTGGCAAAGATTTATTAGATAAGACACGAAAGTCATAAAGCATTAAAGGAAAAAAGAAAAATTAGACATCATCAAAGTTAAAAATTATCTCTTCAAAAGAAGCTAAGGAAATTAAAAGATAAGCCATGCTGTGGGAGAAAGTACTCGCAAAAATATATCCGGGATAGAACTTTGTACTAGACTTTCTATATTTTTGAAAACATGTTTTTATTTATTTTTTGTATAAATTGATGGGGTACAAGTGCAATTTTGTTGCATGCAAATATTGTGAAATTGTTAAGTCAGGGCTTTTTAGTGTCCATCACCTGAATAAGGTACATTGTACCTATTAGGTAATTTCTCATCATCCATTCCCCCTTCCACCTCCTCACCCTTCTGTGTCTCCATTTTCTATTGTTCTACTGTCTACACTCACATGTACACATTTTTTAGCACATACTTGTTAGTGAGAAAATGTGATATTTGACTTTCTGTGCCTGGCTTGTTTCACTCAGATCATGGCCTCCAGTTCCATTCATGATGCTGCAAAAGACATGATTTTATTCTTTTTATAGCTGAGTAGTATTTGATGGCATACACATAGCACATATTATTTATCCAATCATCCATTGATAGACAATAAGACTGATTCCATATCTTTGCTATTGTGACTAATGCTGTGATAAACATATGGGTACAGGTATCTTTTGATATGCTGATTTTTTTTTCATTGGGTAGATACTTAGTAGTGGGATTGCTGGATGAAATAATAGGTCTGCTTTTAGCTCTCTGAGAAATCTCCATACTGTTTTCCAAGGACGTTGTACTAATTTATCTTCCCACAAATAGTGAATAAGAACAACCTTTTTTCTGCATCCTTGCCAACATCTGTTATTTTCTATTTTCTGTCTCTTTAAAAATAATTCTTCTGGAGAGGGCAGATAAAGATGGCAGAATAAAAAGTTCCACTACTTATTAGAGCTAAAGAGAGAGGTAGGCCCCTATACAGTAATAGCTGGAGACTTTAACACCTCACTTTCAGTTTTGGACAGATCTTCCAGACAAAAAATATCAACACAGAAATATCAGACTTAATCTGCACTACAGACAAAATGAATCTAATAGAGATTTCATCCAAGAGCTGCAGAATATACAATATTTTCCTTTCACATGGATCATTCTTAAGGGCAGACTATATGTTAGGTCACAAAACAAACCTTAAAGCATTCAAAAACACTAAAATAATATCAAGCATATTCTCTGACCACAAAGGAATAAAACTGGAAATTAATAACAAGAAGAATTATAGAGGCTATTCAAATACATGGAAATTAAACAATATGCTCCTGAATGACCAGTGGGTCAATAAAGAAATTAAGAAGGAAAATGAAAAATTTCTTGAAACAAGTGATAATAGAAACACAACACACCAAAAACTATGGGATACCAAAGGCAGTGCTCAGAGGAATTTATAGCTATAAATGCCTACATCAAAAAAGAGGAAAAACTTCAAATAAACAATTGCATGATGCATCTTAAAGAACTAGAAAAGGAAGAGCAAACCAAACCCAAAATAAGTAGAAAAAAGAAATGATAAATATCAAAGCAGAAATAAGTGAAATAGAATTAAAAAAAACAAGTTTTTTTTGAAAAGTTAAACAAAATTGACAAACCTTTAGCCAAACTAAGGAGAAAAAGAGAGAAGAGCCAAATAAATAAAATCAGAAATGAAAAAGGAAACATTACAATTGATACTGCAGAAATTCATAGGATCATAAGTATTACTATGAGTAACTAAATGCAAATGAATTGAAAAATATAGAAGAAATGGACAAATTTCTAGATACATACAAGCTATCAGAGTGAACCAGGAAGAAACCCCAAACCTGAAAAGACCAATAACAAGATCAAAGCCATAATAAAAAGTCTCACAGTAAAGAAAAGCCCAGAACCTATGGCTTCATTGCTGAATTCTACCAAACATTTAAAGAAGTAATACCAATGTTACTCAAACTATTCTGAAAAACAGAGGAGGCTGAAATACTTTCAAACTCATTCTATGAGGCCAGTATTATCCTGCTACTAAAATGAGACAAAGACACATAAAAAAAAAAGAATGAAAAAAGAAAGAAAATTACAAGCCAGTATCTCTGATGAATTTTGGCTCAACAAAATACTAGCAAACTGAATTCAGCAATACATTAGAAGGATCATTCATCATGACCAAATGGGATTTATTCCTGGGATGCAAGGATGGTTCAACATATGCCAATCAATCAATGTGATACATCATACCAAAATAATTAGGTAAAAAAATGATAATTTCAATTGATGCTAAAAAGCCTTTTATAAAGTTCAACATCCCTTCATGATAAAACCCCTCAAAAATTGTGTACAGAAGGAACATAATAATAATTATCATCATAAAAGCCATATGTGACAGACCCACAGTTAGTATCATACTGAATGAGGAAAAAATGAAAAACTTTCCTCTAAGATATGAACAATAGGATGCCTATTGTCACTACTGTTATTCAACATAGCACTGAAAATCCTAACTAGAACACTCAGACAAGAAACATGTAAAGGGCATCCAAATTGGAAAGGAAGAAGTCAAATTATTCTTGTTTGCTGATGATACTGTCTTATATGTGAAAAAATCTAAAGACTCCCCAGGAAAACTATTACAACTGATAAACAAATTCAGTAAAGTTTCAGGATACAAAATCAACATATAAAAAGCAGTCTCATTTCTATATGGCAATAGTGAACAATGTAAAAAAGAAATTAAAAAGTAATCCCATTTACAATAACCACACATAAAATTAAATACCTAGGAATTAACCAGAGATGAAATATTTCTATAATGAAAACTATAAAAAGCTGAAGAAGAAAATTGAAGAGGACACTAAAAAATGGAAAAATATTTCATTATTTCATGTTCGTGGATTGGAAGAATCAATATTGTTAAAAAGTGCATCCTACCCAAAGCAAAATACAGATTCCATCCAATCCCTATCAAAAGACCAATGACATTCTTCATATAAATAGAAAAAAAATCCTAAAATTCATAGGAAACCAGAAAAGACCCAGAACAGCCAACGCTATCCTAGGCAAAAAGAACAAAACTGAAGAAATCACATTATCTGTTTTCAAATTAAACTACAGAACTATAGCAACCAAAACAGCATGGCAGTGGCATAAAAACAGGCAAATAGACCAATGAAACAGAAAAAGAAAACCTAGAAACAAATCCACACACATATAGTAAAACTATTTTTGACAAAGATGCCAAGAACATACACTGGAGAAAAGACAGTCTCTTCAATAAACGGTGCTGGGAAAACTGGATATTCATATACAAAAAAATGGAACCAGACCCCTCTGTCTTGCCATATACAAAAATCAAATCTAAATGGATTAAAGACTTAAATCCAAGACCTAAACCTATAAAACTACTACAAGAAAACATTGCAAAAAGTCTCCAGAACATTTTTCCAGGCAAAGATTTATTGAGCAATGCCCCACAAGCACAGGCTACCAAAGCAAATGTGGATAAATGGGATCACTCCAAGTTAAAAAGCTTCTACACAGCAAATAAGACAATCAACAAAGTGAAGAGACAGCCCACAGAATAGGAGAAAATATTTGCAAACTACTCCTCAGAAAAGGGATTAATGACCAGAATATATAGGGAGCTCAAACAACTCTAGGAAAAAAAAATCTAATAATCTAATAAAAATGGGTAAAAGATTTGAAAAGACATCTCTCTAAAGAAGACGAGGTGTTCAACATCATTGATTATCAGAGAAACGTGAATCAAAACTATAATGAGATACCATCTCACCCCAGTTAAAATGGCTTATACCCAAAAGACAAGCAATAACAAATGCTGGTGAGTATGTGGAGAAAAAGAAACTCTTGTCCACTGTTGGTGGGAATGTAAGTTATTACAACCACTACAGAGAACCATTTGGAGGTTCCTCAAAAAACTAAAAGTTGAGCTACCATATGATCCAGCAATCCCACCGCTGGAATTATAACCCAAAGAAAAAAGCTTCATATATCAAAGAGATATATGCACTCCTATATTTGCTGCAGCACTGTTTACAGTAGCTAAGATTTGAAAGTAACCTAACTGTCCATCAAGAAATAAATTGGTAAAAAAATGTGGTACATAATGGTGCACCATGCCTAAGGAGTGCACGTGTAATGGAGTACTATTCAGTCATAAAAAATAATGAGATTGAATCATTTGCAACAACTTAGATGGAACTGGAGATCATTATGTTAGGTGAAATAAGCTATGCATAGAAAGACAAACATCACACATTCTCGCTTATTTGTGGGATATAACAATCAAATTATAAAAATCAAATAAATTGAACTCATGGACAAACAGAGTAGAAGCATGGTTACCAGAAGCTGGGAAGGGTAGTGGGGGATTGTGGGAGTTGGGGATGGTTAATGGATACAAATAAATTGAAAGAGTGAATAAGACCTACTATTTGATGGCACAGTGGGGTGAGTGTGGTCAACAATAGCTTAATATTATATTTTAAAATAACTTAAAGAATAATTGGATTGTTTGTAACTCAAAGGATAAATGCCTGAGGGGATGAATACCCCATTCTCCATGATGTTCTATTTCACATTGCATGCCTGTATCCAAACATCTCTTGTACCCCATAAATATATATACCTACTATGTACCCACAAAATTAAAAAGAATAATAATTTAAAAATTAAAAAAATAGTCATTCTGATTTGGGTAAGATGATATCTCATTGAAGTTTTTATTTGAATTTCTTTGATAATTAATGATGTTGATCATTTTTTAAATATAACAGTTCATCTTGATATGTCTTCTTTTGAAAAATGCCTATTCATGTCTTTTGCCCACTTTTTAATATTATTGGTGAAGTCTGTTTTTGTTGTTGTTGAGTTGTTTGAGTTTCTTTTACATTTTGTATATTAGTCCCCTTTTGGATGAATAGACTGCAAATATTGTATCACATTCTGCAGGTTGCCTGTTCACTCTGTTGATTATTTATTTTGCTATACAGAAGCTTTCTTAGTTTAATTAAGTCCCATTTGTCTGTTTTTGCCTTTGTTGCCTATGCTTTTGAGGTTTCAATCATATACTTTTTTGCCTAGATCAACGTCTAGAAAAGTTTTCTGTAGGGGTTCTTCTAGTAGTTTTATAGCTTCAGGTCTTATATATATGTCTTTAATTCACCTTGAGTTGATTTTTTAATAGGGTAGGAGATAGGAGTCAACTTTCATTCTTCTGCATGTGGCAATCCAGTTTTCTCAGCACCATTTGTTGAAAAGTTTATCCATTCCCCGAAGTATGTTTCTGGTGGATTTGTCAAAGACCCATTGGCTATAAATATGTGGATTTGTTCTGGGTTTTCTATTCTGTTCAATTGATGTATTTGTCCATTTTTATACCAGTACCATGTTGTTTTGGTTGCTACAGCCTTGTGATATATCTTAAAGTCGGGTAATGTGTTACTTCCATCTTTGTTTCTTTTGATTAGGATTGCTTTGGTTATTTGGGTTATTCTTTGGTTCCATATAAATTTTAGTATTTTATCTTCCCATTCTATAAAAAATGATATTGGCATTTTGATAGGGATTATATTGAATCTGTAGATTACTTTGGGCAGTACGGTCATGTTAACCATATTAATTCTTCTAATCCGTGGACATTGGATTTTTTTTCCATTTCTTTATGTTGCCTACAATTTCTTTTGTAGATTTTTGTGGTTTTTCCTTGTAGTTTTTTTTGTAGTTTTTCTCGTAGATTTTTGTAGTTTTTATTGTACAGATCTTTCCCTTCTTTGGTTACATTCATTCTTAGGAATTTTATTTTTTTGTAGATATTGTAAATGGGATTGCCAGCTTGAATTTGTTTTAGCTAGATCATTATTGGTCTATAGAAATGCTACTGACGGTTATACATTGATTTCATATCCTGCAACTTTAATACATTCATTTATCAAATCTATGAGTTTTTTGATGGGATGAGGCCTTTAGGTGTTTCCAGATATAAGATTATGTCATCAGGGAACAGGCATAATTTGACTTTCTCATTTCCAATTTTAAAACTTTTCTTTCCTTCTCTTGCCTGATTGCTCTGGCTAGGATCTCTGGGATTAAGTTGAATAGAGGTGTTGAAAGTGAGCATCCTTATCTTGTTTCAGTTCTTAGAGGAAATGCTTTCAACTTTTCCCCATTCTATATGATGTTGGCTGTGGGGCTGTCATATATGGCATTTATTATTTTGAGGTATGTTCCTCTTTTGCCTAGTTCATTGAGGCTTTTTTTCATGAAAGGATGCTGAATTGTATCAAATGCTTTTCTGCATCTTTTGGCACATTATATGGTTTTTGTTTTCCATTTCGTTAATGTGATGTATCACATTTACTGATTCATGCGTATTGAACTGTCCTTGTATCCCTGGTATAAAACCTACTTGATCATAGGATTATCTTTTTAATGTGCTGTTGGATTCAGTTTGCTAGTATTTTGTTGAGAATGTTTGCATTTATGTTCATCAGTAATACTAGTCTGTAGTTTGCTTTTGTGTGTGTCTCTGGTTTGGGTATCAGAATGATATTGGCCTTGTAGGATGAATTAGGAAGATTTCTGTCCTCTATTTTTTGGAACAGTTTTGGGAAGATTGGTATTAGTTCTTCTTTGTATGTTTTATAGAATTTGACTGTGAATCCATCTGGTCCTGAACTACTTACCATTAGTCTGTCCAGGTTTTCAATTTCTTTCTTGCTCAATCTTGGGAGGTTGTATGTTTCCAGGAATGTATCTGTTTCCTCTAAGTTTTCTGGTTCATGAATTTACAGTTGTTCATAATAACCTCTCATAATCTTTTATATTTCTGTAGTATCCCTTCTAATGTCTTGTTTTTGATTTCTGAATTTATTTGGGTCTTCTCTCTTTTCTTTTTTAGTATAGCTAGCAGTGTATCAATTTTATCTTTTGAAGAATCAATTTTTCATTTCATTGACACTTTATGTTGTTTTTTGGTCTCTATTTCACTTAATTCTGCTCTGTTATTTATTTTCTTTTGTTAATTTTTGGTGTTTTGTTATTGTATTTCTAGTTCTTTGACATGCATCATTAGATTTTTAACTTGTATCTTTCTACTTTTTTGATATAGGCATTTAATGTTATCAACTTAGCATGGCTTTTGCTGTTTCCCACAGGTTTTGGTATATTGTGTTTCCATTTTCATTTGTTTCTTTTTTTAAGTTTCCATCTCATTTGTTGACTAATGGTCCTTCAGGAGCATATTGTTTAATTTGCATATATTTGTATAATTTCTGATGTTTTTGTTGGTATTGAACTCTAGTTTTATTCCCATTTGGTTTGTGCAGAAACTTGATATATTTTTTATTTTTAAAAATTTATGGAGACTTGTTTTGTGGCCTAATGTATGGTCTATCTTGAAGAATGTTTCATGTGTTCATGAAAATAATGTGTATTCTGCTGTCATTGAGTAGAATGTTCTGTAAATGTCTGTTAGGTCTATTTAGGCAAAAATCCAGTTTAAGTTCAATGTTTCTTTCTTGATTTTCTGTATAGATGATCTGTTTAAGGCTGTGAATGGGGTGTTGAAGTCCCTCATTCTTACTGTATTGATTTCTCTCTCTCTCATTAGGTCTACTAATGTTTGTTTTACAAACCTGGGTGCTCCACTGTTGAGTACATATATAATTTATCATTTTATCATCATATAATGACCTTAATTTTTTTTTACATTTTTTGATTTAGTCTGTTTTGTCTGATATACGTATAGTTCCTCCTGCTCACTTCTGGTTCCCGTTTGCATGGAATAATGGAATATCTTTTTCTATCCTTTTACTTTCAGTCTATCGAGTCTTCACAAATAAGGTATTTATCATAAGCAGTATACAGTTGAATCCCCCTTCTGTTTATCCATCTCGCTAATCTATAACTCTTTTTTTTTTGAGACGGAATCTCGCTCTGTCTCCCAGGCTGGAGGGCAGTGGTGCCATCTTGGCTCATTGCAAGCTCCGCCTCCTGGGTTCATGCCATTCTCCTGCCTCAGCCTCCCGAGTAGCTGGGACTATAGGCGCCTGCCACCAGGCCCGGCTAATTTTTTGTATTTTTAGTAGAGACGGGGTTTCACTGTGTTAGCCAGGAAGGTCTTGACCTCCTGACCTTGTAATCCACCTGCCTTGGCCTCCCAAAGTGCTGGGATTACGCCAATCTAACTCTTAAGTGAAGCATTTCATCTACTTATATTTAAGATTATTATTAATATGTGAGGATTTTTTTTTGTCATATTGTTAATTGCTTTCTAGGTGTTTTATAAATTCTTTGTTTCTTTTTTTTCTCTGTGATTCTACGGAATTCAATAGTAGTGTCATTTGATTCTTTTTTGTCTCCTCCTTTGTGTGATTGCTTTACCAGTGAGTTTTATACTTTCTTTTCATGGTGATGAATGTAGTCCTTTTGCTTCCAAATTTAGGACTCCTTTGAACATTTCTTGTAGATCCAGTCTAGTGATCATGACTTCCCTCAGATTTGCTTGTCTAGAAAATACATTATTTGTCCTTTATAAATGTTAATCTTGCTGGATATCATATTCTTGAAGAGCAGGTTTTTTTCTTTCAGCATTTTGAATATGTTACCCCACTCTCTTCTGGCTTGTAAGGTTTCTACTGAGAATTCTGCTGTTACTCTGATGGGCTTTCCTTTATAGGGGACTAGACATTTTGCTCTTGCTAATTTTAAAATTTGTTCTTTTACAGTAAGTGTAGACAGTCAGATTATGATATGCCATGGCAAAATCCTTTCTGCATTGTATTTTCCTGGGAATCTCTGAGCCTCCTGCATCTGAATGCCTAGGTCTTAGGAAGTTTTCATATGTAATTTTGTTAAATAGGTTTTCTTAGCCTTTTGATCTCTCTTCACTCTTGGCAATATCAATAATTTGCACATTTGGTTGCTCTATGACATCTCCAATTTCTCAAAGGCTTTGTTTATTTTTTCTTAATCTTTTTTCTTTGTTTTGTCTGACTGAATCATTTCAAAAGACATGTCTTCCAGTTTTGAAATTCTTTACTTTGCTTGGTATAGTTTGTCGCTAAAGCTTTTGAATGTATTTTGTAATTCCTTCAATGATTCTTTTTTATTTCCAGAAGTTCTGTTTGTTGTGTGTTTTAAGATATTTATTTCTTTGGTAAATTTCTCATTCATATCTTGAATGGATTTTTCTGAGTTCTTTGTACTGGTTTTCAAATTCTCTTGCATCTCATTGAGCTTCTTTACAATTAATGTTCAGAATTCATTATCTCTTGTTTTGAGAATTTTTTGGTTAAAATCTATTGCTGGAGAATTATTGTGTTCCTTTGAGGGTGTCATATTACTTTGCTTTTAATGTTTCATGTACCATTACATTGATTTCTGAGCATCTGATGTAATATTCGTTTCTTCTTATTTTTGAGTTTACTTTCACTGGGGAGAAGGACATTTTCCTTAAGATCTGACTATGATGTTGATTGGGTAGTGTGCTTTGACTTTACTTTGAGGCATGTGCAGTAGTGATGACTCTAGGATTTTGTTGACTACAAGTAGCATTAGTGGTATCTGTGCTATCTTTGGTGTGTTATGTTGCACTTATTGGTGGGGGCTGTGTTTAAGTTGTGCAGGGAACTGAAGAGCCAGATGGGTCCATCTTTATGTTTCGGTGGTAATGGTGGTGGGCTAAGCATGTCTAGCCTTGCATTCTGGGGAAGCATACGCTGGCACCTATATTGGTCATTCCAAGCATGCCAATTCTTGGTCCTCTGGGTGGCTTTCTCAGATCCCACTTATAGTAGCAGTATACCAGGTGGGGGAATGGAATCTTCTAACACCTGGGCAGCCAGTGTGGTATAGGCAATGCCAATAGTAGTGGTGGCGAAATGCTCTTCTGATTCCCAAACACTGCTTGTGTTGGCAGTGGTTGCAACGGGCTGTGCAGACTGTGCTGTAGGCTAGTAGATGGGCGGATGCCGAGTGGAGTCAAGCCAGGCAAGCTTGGCTCAGGCCCCCAGTGATGAGAGCATTCACCAGCCATGATGAAGGACTGGAGTGATCCTGAGGCCCCTGGTGAAATGCATGGGTGAGGAGTCACCATTGCTATACTGAGGCCCTACCATGGGGAGGGTGAGAGCAGTCCTACTGGTCACAGCCTTGGCCAGTGGATGGGGCACTTACATCCTTCTCTCGCCCCAGTCCTGGTGGGGTTTTCCACCTCACTCCAGCTGTCACAGCTGACCTGACTGTTCAGTTAGATGTAGCAATTTGTGCCTAGCCCCAAACTCAGCACCTGTAGAAGCCCTCCGACCCCCATCCCCATGCCCAGCTCAAGACCAAGTTTCTGTGATAATTGTGGCAATGCTCATGTTGCTTAGGTCCCAGAAGCATTGACCAATCCAACACCAGCAGCTGCTGCAGTCCACGCCTCACTCACTCAGTTCTCAGTCCTGTTTGTGGAAGCCCATGCCACACTCATGACCCAGCTCTGCAAGTAGCAGCCCAAGTTTTCCTAATGCCTGGGACTTGCATCACTGGTTCCCAGGACTATGCCCAGTTAAAAGACATATCAAGAATGACATCTTACTTTAGCTGCACAGGTCTCAGAAAGGACATGAAACCCAAGGCGTATTTCCCTGCTAAAGCAGTTTTTTCTTATAGTGTCCGGACTGCTCTCCAAGTCAATGCTCTTCCATGGCCTAGATTTTATGATCACACAGAGGAAAAGTGGACTGCAGGAAGACAATTACCTTCAACCATTTTGGTGATTCACTTCCAGTTCCTGACTAGTCCTGGCCACGCAGTCTGTCTGTTTTCTTCTTCTTCCTCCATTTTAGCATTTCCTGTCACTCATCTGTTCATTCTCCATGCTCCCTCTTAGATAATGTATGCAAAGCGTGATCATCTACACACTATTTTGGTTCCTCTAAGTGGATGAGAGCTGCCTAAAATGCCTCTAGTCAACCATTTTGGGAAAAAAAAACTGTCCAGAATTTCTAAATCTCAATAAGATGAAGGCAAACAATCCATTAAAAATGTGGAAATGGGCCGGGCACGGTGGCTCACGCCTGTAATCCCAGCACTTTGGGAGGCCGAGGCGGGCGGATCACGAGGTCAGGAGATCGAGACCATCCCGGCTAAAACGGTGAAACCCCATCTCTACTAAAAATACAAAAAATTAGCCGGGCGTAGTGGCGGGCGCCTGTAGTCCCAGCTACTTGGGAGGCTGAGGCAGGAGAATGGCGTGAACCCGGGAGGCGGAGCTTGCAGTGAGCCGAGATCCCGCCACCGCACTCCAGCCTGGGCGACAGAGCGAGACTCCGTCTCAAAAAAAAAAAAAAAAAATGTGGAAATGATTTAAAAGACACTCTGCCGAAGAAGATACATAAATGTTCAATGACTGTATAAAATACGACTAAAATAATTAATAACCAGAAAAATGCAGACTAAAGCCACAATGTGATATCACTGCATTCTCATTCAAATAGCCAATGTCTACAGAACTGACAATACCAAATATTGATGATGTAGAACAACTAGAACAGTGATAAACTGGTAATGATGTAAAGCAACTGGAACTCTTATAAATTGATAGTAAGAATGCAAATTGGTGCAATCATTTTGAAAAACGCACTTTAAAAAGTAAAGTTAAACAAACTCTTACCTTACACCACAACAATCCACTCATATTTAATTTACCTAGGATCTAAACATGTATACATCCACCCAAAGTCATGTACATGAATGCTCAAAAAAGATATATTTCTAAGAGCACTATATTGGAAAAAAACAAAATATCAAACAACTAGCAAATGAATAATCAAATTATGGTCTATCCCTAAAATGGATTTTTCTCAGTCATAAAAAATAACAAACTACTGATCCATGACAGACCATAAATGAATTTCAAAAGCACAACATTAAAAAGCCAAAAACAACAACAAAATTAGATACTGAATTTAATCTGTATGACATTATAGAAAAGGCAAAAATATAGGATAAAGAAGTAGATCAATGGTTGTCAAGGGATCATGAAGGAGAAGATGACTCTGCAAAATAGGCATAGGGTTAATTTTGAGGTTGATGGAAAGTTTCTATATCATGATTGCAGCATTGGTTATATGGCTGTAAACATTTGTCAAATCATCAAACTACATACTGTATTTTTTAACAGTTTAAATAAGGTAATATTTATATGCACTAAACTGCCTCTGCTGTAGTGTACAATTTGATGTGTTTTGGCATAAACTCATAAAACCAGCAGCACATTCAAAATAATAAATATATGCATAAACCTCAAGAATTTTCCCTTTTAAAATTTCTTCCCTTTCCTCCCTCTCTATCCACTACTTTTCAGGTAAGCATTAATCTGCTTTCTACCACTATAGAATTCATTTTCTAGAATTTTGCATAAAAAAACAAGTATTTACTGCTTGTCTGACTTCTTTCTTTTAATATAATGACTTTGATATTCATTCTCATTGAATTAACAGTTTATTTCTTTGGATTACTAAATGGTATTCCATTTTATGGATGTACTGCAAACATTTTATTCATTCAAATTTGGGTTTCCATATTTTTCTATATATAACTAAAGTTGTTAAGACTATTAAAGTTCAAGTATTTGTATGGATACACACTTTCATTCCTATTGGGTAAATGTCAAGGAGGGAGTAGAATGACTGGGTGATATAAGTGAATATTTACAGTGAAGGAACTTCTAAACAATTATGAAAATATTTGTAACATGTATATTCCCACAAGGCGTGCATGAGAATTCTGATTACTCTATCATCTCACCAATACTTACTATGGTCAGTTCCTTTAATTTCCTGTAGGTGTGTAAGAATATTTAATTGTGATTATAAGTGTACTTTCATAAAGAAAAACTGTTACCCATGAAGTTACCTTCATTGACTTGCTTCAAGGAAACATGCAAAACTCTGGGTTTCTCATATTTCCTCTCTTTGTCACCTGGGAACTAAAGATTGCTTAGATAGGTGAGGCACAGTGGCTCACACCTATAATCCCAGCAGTTTGGGAGTACGAGGGAGGCAGATAATTTAAGCCCAGAAGTTTGAGACTAGCCTGGGTAACATGGCAAAACTCCCCCTATAAAAAATATAAAAATTAGCCTGGAGGCTAAAGTGGGAGGATTACATGAGCCCAGGAGGTCAAGGCTGCAGTAAGCCAAGATTGTGTCACTGCACTCAGGCTGGGTGACCAGAGCCAGACCCCGTCTCAAAAAAAAAGAAAAAAGAAAAAAAAGAAAAAAGGATTGCTTTTAGATAAACTAAACTTGATTCCTTCCTTGGCCAAGGCATCTTGTGCCATCAGGTTTATTTTGAAGAAGCTCAGCCCCAAGTTGCTACAAGGCTGGAAATATTTTAAACAAGAGACAGAGTAGTAATCTTTTCTGTGTTTACATTTCTTATCCATCTGTATGATACACGTACACTCTAGGATTTTAGCTTGGAGATGAGAGATAGAAATACATACTTCAGTCATCTTTTACGCCCTATCACTTTTCTTCTTCACAAAACCCCTTGGTAGGGTATTAGGGAAAATTGATTGCTCTTCCCTTTTCAGAGCTAGACTTACTATTATTATTTTATTTTATTTTGAGACGGAGTTTCGCTCTTCTTGCTCAGGCTGGAGTGCAGTGGTGCAACCTCAGCTCACTGCAACCTCTGCCTCCCGGGTTCAAGCGATTCTTCTGCCTCAGCCTCCCACATAGCTGGGATTACAGGTGCGTGCCACCATGCCCAACTGATTTTTTGTATTTTTAGTGGAGACAGGCTGGTCTGGAACTCCTGGCCTCAAAAGATCCGCCCATCTCAGCCTCCCAAAGTGCAGGGATTACAGGCATGAGCCACCACGCCCGGCTGCTAGACTTTTAAGAGTGAAATTTTGGTCTTTTGCTTTTTCTAGGTCATATTCTTTCTGACTCTAGCTTCATGGCTTTACCTCAATTACAAGTGAGTGGGGCTTAGAAGTAAGTTCAAATTAATAAAAAAGCATAAATCAGCTGACATTTGAAAACATTATACCTGTTCTCACATATAAAAAATTAAATTGTATAGGTATGTATAAAAACAGTCACTTCCCCAATATTAATCTATAAAGCTGACAATTTGAATGAATGCTTCAAAGTGAGTTTCATTTTATGGTACAGAGAAAAGATTTTTGGAAGCTTTTATCAGAACTCTAAATTCACTCTGATGCATGTGGAACACTAATACAGCCAGCTGTGCATATTTTTCTGAATAGAAATGCTTTTGTATGATAGAGCAGAAGGCGATGACACACACAAATATAACCTTTTATACAATTTGATCAATGTGATCTTAATCAAGACAATACTGACTAAAGAAATATCCCTGGGGAAACCTTTTGGTTTAGAAAGGTGGTAGTCGTACCTGATATTTGGTGTGTCATAGTGCCTTGAGAGTAAGGATGGGGCCATATTGACTGTAGTAGACTAACATATCTTCCACTGTACCCCAACCTGCATCTCTTTAGATTCTTCTAATGTGGTAGTAGAATTCTTCGGAAAGTCATATATTTGGCACTTGCCATTTTATTTTATTTATTTATTTATTTATTTATTTATTTATTTACTTGAGACAGAGTCTCTTTCTGTTGCCCAGGCTGGAGTGCAGTGGTGCGATCTCAGCTCACTGCAAGCTCTGCCTCCCGGGTTCATGCCGTTCTCCTGCCTCAGCCTCCTGAGTAGCTGGGACTACAGGTGCCCACCACCACGCCCGGCTAATTTTTTTTGTATTTTTTAGTAGATACGGGGTTTCACCGTTTTAGCCAGGATGCTCTCGATCTCCTGACCTCGTGATCTGCTCGCCTTGGCCTCCATTTTTATCTTCTCCACCTCTTCTACTTATACCAATGCCTAAAGTGGCAGCTAATACCATTAATGCCCACTAAATGTTACCACATTAATGCTCACAAAAGGTATTCAGGGTGCTGTTAATTTCTCCTCATGTTTGCCCCAAAGCACTCCAATCTGGTTTCTGATGGCCTCATGCAGCATCTCTTGACAGGTACACGGCAGATGACTCTAACATGGAGCATATCTTAAGCCTTTTATGTCCCATAGAGCTGGAAAATAAACAGCTGTTTTGTTTTGTAACAACTACTTTGTGGCAGCATGCTGTGTTCAAAGGAAAAGGCATGAATCCATAAGGTGGTTCCAGAAGACAATTTTAGTGAGAAACGCTAGACTGTGCTAAGAATCACTGTCCTTCCCTCACTCTTGCAAAATTACTTCAGTCAAGGTTCTGATTAGTCTTCTGCTGGAGTTCATTCTTCCGTGAAAGTTTTTTCAGTCTCTCATGTTTATCTTAACACACTCCTTTAGACATACCCAGAAACAGTTTAAAAAAATGGGTAGAATATATTACCAAAATAGAGAAAACTGAGAAAAAAAAATCAGACTTCAGGTGGGAGGAAATCAATCATTTTGTTTTGAACATTTAAAGTTTGGATTTCTATTAAGGTAACTCATTATGAAGCAATAGTAACTAGAACAGACCACATATCATAAGTGTTAACAGCATAGAGAGATCTTGTGACTTCTAGAAAAAATCTTCCAAAGTTTCCAAATAACTACACAGTTAGGGTATGTGTGGCCAAGAGGTGAGGCCGGGGGTCATGGTTTATCTCAGCTCAAGGAATCATATTCTCTAGGATCTTTTCAGGTATTTTGCTTTCTAATCACATAGTGATTTTCATAATACATAACTTGCTCTCATTCTCTGATGTAGGTGCATCTCTCCATTCAGTAGAAATTTTCAATGCGGTGTAAGTGCAGAGTTCAGTGTGCTAACTTTGGCTTTAATCTCATTTAGCTCGTTTATGGTATAATCTTATAAATTCTTTGAGTTCATTTTATATATAGGATCCTACAAAGGGTCAATCCTCAGGTACTTCTGACATTAGAGAAATAGACACAAATCTGCTATTAACTTTTTTCCAGTAACAATAAGTATTAGCTATTAAAAACCTACTATAAAAGAGCCTATGTGCTATTTCACCTACATATCACATTCAATCTTTATACTACCCTGAACAAAATAGAAAGATTCTCAGATGCAAGCAAACAAACAAAACCTAAAATCTCCAATAATATGTCAGACAGCTTTGGCTGTATAGCAAAACATACCAAAATGTAAAACAATTATCATTTCATTTAGCTCTTGGTTCTGTGGATAAGCTTAACGCTCTTTCTTGTCCAAGTTCTCTCATCTGTCTAAGGTCAGATGGAGGGTTCACTGGACCCTGAATAGTTTCGAATAGCCTTCTTACATGTCTGGTGTTTGACATTTTGTCAAGAGGGCACCTAAATGCCAACCACAAGGCCTTTCCAGTAGGCTAACTGCAGTTTATTTACAAGATGGCCTCAGGATTTCATACACAGCAAGCATCAAAGCCTCAGTGTGTAAGCTCTTTCAAACTATGATTAATGATTGTTTTGTGCCAATCTAAGGAATTGAACTAGATTTGAAATAAGACTACTAATACTTTAGAAATACATACATACACGCACGCACACGGGGGTAGGAGGTGGGTAGGGAGAGAGAGGGTGAATTCTTTTTAAAAGGTAGGTAATTAAAGGTTTGAATATTTTAAATTGAAGATTTTTCTATCAACACACAAAAAATGAGAGTAAGGCTAATATTGCATATGTGGTAACTTCTGAGTGTTTGTGCTATCATATAAAACATCAATTTAAATCTTATAGTTACCTTAAGAAATTGTCAGTAACTCAATTCCATCCATACATTGATTCTATCAATCAATATCAAAGAAAGGAAGAGAAGGCTTTATAAAAGATAAGTAAACATTTATAAATCAGCTAATGAGCAAAGAAATGCAATAAAAAGACACAAATTAGATCGAATAAGCACTAAGATTTCTGTAACCATGAGACTGTGAGCTCCTCCTCCCAATCTTTACATTTCATACTCTACATTCTTTTGTCAGTCATTTATCTTCTTTCTCACAATGCTGATAGAGAATTCCAATGTGAAATCAATCAGCATTTATTGAATATCTTCCATGGGTCAGTCACTGTGTTTAGTGCTTCTGCAGTTCTAACCTAACCACAACTTATTATGATATTGCAATTTTCACCTATCTTCACTTTTTCTTTGAAGAAGCTTACATTCAGAGAGGTGGCTTGTCTTGCTCACAGAAAGGTAGAATTCATCAGAAGACATATTAATAAATGTATATGAGAGAAATCAGAGGAACAGTATTATTCCCAGTACACTGGTCCCAGCCTTCTTTGAATACTGTCATCAAGATTAATTGGAATGGAGGACATGTGAGCTAACAGAAGCCTAAGTTTAAAAGATTTCTCCTTATCTCTATGGTCTACTTGTGTCTCAGTCATTTTACCCCATTCTTCAAAACTTGAAGTTAGTTCCATGTCCCAGAATAGAGCAGATTAAATGCCTTCACTGACTTTTCTTGAAAAATATTAACATGATACAAAATATATATTCTTAAGTGTTTTTAACCTATAGCAAATATAACACAAGGGTGAGAAACATTTGGTAGCAAAGATGATTTTTCTCTCTCAGGGTTTCTCTTGGTCCCTGGGTAATTGTGACTACTTTCTCAATAACTGCATGGAAGCCAGAGAATAAAAGATAAAAAGCTAACACCCACCAACTTGAGAAATGAAACAGGAGATACCTAATTTAATGTTGAAATCCCAAAGAGCTAATCCAATAGTGTAAAAGGGAAAACCCAAAATGTAAGGATGAATGAGAAGTAAGATACATTGCAAAAGGTAGAAGCAAAAATTATCGATAAGTGAATGCGGAAAATCTACCAAGAAAATTTAGAAGTCATCTCTTTATAGGGTTCAAAGTCCCATGAAAACTAACTGTTTGTGCCTCAAAACCGCATGTGAAGCAGTCTTGTGTTGGCAATGCCCTTTAGGTGACAAGCAAAAGTAAATGAAGTATCCAACTTGATCTCAGGACTCAAAATATTTTCATAAAGAAAATAAGAATTCATAGCCAAAAATCACAAAACACACAAGTTAATAAGACACTGTGAGTAAGAATCAGCTAAACAACCCACGGACAAACCAACAAAAGTTCAAGTATTAGAATTATAAGACACAATTTACCATAACTGTATAGTATGTTTACAAACATGAAAGAGATGCTTAGTAATATGAGCAGGGTAACGAACAAGTTAAATAAATTAAAAATTTAGAAATGAAACATCAAAAGATTAGACAAAAAAGGATATTGGTAACTAGAATGTAGATCCAAGTTTGAAGGTTAAGAAGATGAAAATTTGCAAAATGTTGAAGAGGTATTGAGATTAAAGAAAGACACTGTGGGCCGGGCACGGTGGCTCACGCCTGTAATCCCAGCACTTTGGGAGGCCGAGGGGGGCGGATCACGAGGTCAGGAGATCGAGACCATCCTGGCTAACATGGTGAAACCCCGTCTCTACTAAAAACACAAAAAAATTAGCCGGGCGTGGTGGCGGGCGCCTGTAGTCCCAGCTACTCGGGAGGAGGCTGAGGCAGGAGAATGGTGTGAACCCTAGAGGCGGAGCTTGCTGTGAGCCGAGATTGCGCCACTGCACTCCAGGCTGGGCGACAGACCAGACTCCGTCTCAAAAAAAAAAAAACAAAAAACAAACAAACAAACAAAAAAAGACGCTGTGGGCAATCTAGAATAAAAATTATTGGAGTTCTAGTAATAAATAATGAAAAGAATTAGGAACAAAAATAAGCTTTGATGAGCTAATGACTAAAAATTTTCAAGAAAATTTGGGACACAAATCCCGAGATCTAAGAAGCCTAACAAAGCCCAAACAAGATACATAGGAAAGTAATCAGTACACAGACATAGAAGAGTGAAGAAGCAAAATCCCAAAGAAAAAGAGAAAATCTTAAAAGTAAACAGAGAGATAAGGCAGATCACCAAAAGAAACAGCAATTAAACTGAAAGCTAACCTCATGACAGCAATCACAGAAGCCAGAAGAAAATAGAAGAATGTCATTAATATATCGAGAGGACCCACACTGCCAGAAGATAATGCAGTATTTTTTACCTTTCACACTGTCTTCCCAGTGAGGGGAGGAGCCTAGCTGTAAAGCACTACAATTGTGGTCAAGTTTCCAACTGAGTCAACCTGTGAATGGCTAGTCATGAAAAATGAGGAATCAGAAAGACAAAAATCAAAGATGGGGCCTGTGACTGCATCTTCTATAATTTTAATTCTAAATCCAGCTTGAATATTCCTACAAGGGTGTAACTGGAAGTTGTGAATATCAGGGCATAAATTAGATTCATGGGTTGAGGGAGGGAAGACCAGAATTCCCTTGAATTGTGTTTTGATGCAATGTAAGCATAAAAGATCACCTTGGATTCTTCTTTGCCTTCTAGAAGCCATTATTATGATGTTAGAAGAAGAGGAAGAAATTCAGGTACAAAAAATGTGTTTTAATAGCCTAAATGATGGTACTTGGTGAGCCTTGGTTCTAAAGGTACCAAATAAGAAAGCCTAAGTTCTGAAACTGCTGCATGCTTTGACAAGGAAAATCTATTTTTGTCTTCCAATTTACATTTATGACCGAAGTCAGGTAAATACACCTGGTTTACTTCTTTAACATTTTTATGCAGACAGTCTGTTATGCACTATGGTTTCAGATGTGCAATAATTTGTACAATGGTTTATTCCCAAGTATGCCTTAAGCAGAACAAATGTTTTTTTCTATATAATTTCTTGCTTTATAAATATGTAATACAAATTTATGCAAACTTTTATTTGTATAGTTGTAAACTACAAAGTAAAATAAACAATTCGTGTAGTTTCTATTTTGCATATTCAAGATGTGAATTGTTTTAAATAAACCTATATTATTTTTTCTAAAAAATATATTGAGAAGAAAATGAATACTCTGTACTCAGAAAATAATATTTTGTGAATGGGAGAAAATAAATGCATTTTTAAACAAGCAAAATCTAAGAAAGTTTATTACCTTCCTCCCCAGATAAGCAAAATAAAACTCTCTAAAGAAAAGTCCAAAGGTTATACTTGAGGGCAGTGGATCTCAACCAGCAGCAATTTTGCCACAGAGAGGACATTCACAAATATCTAGACATTTTTGGTTGTCACTACTGAGGGAAAGGTTCTATTGGCATCTAGTGAGTAGAGGCCAAAGATGCTGCTAAACATGCTATGCACAGGATGACCCTCCCCAGCAAAGAGTTATCTGGTTCCAAATGTCAAAAGTGCTGAGACTGAGAAACCCTTGCCTAGGGGGTAGAAGAAACATCTAGGATGGTAAATTTGTTAATACAAAAAGGAATATTAAGTAACGATCATTGGAAAATATACAGATAAAGCACAATCAACACATAATACATCTAATTTATGAGAGGAAAACAAGTTAGTTATTTGCTTCTTCCAGGCGCCTAATGATATCACCAATAAAAAGTGCTAGGCAAAAATAACATGAATTGGTTGTGAGTAATTAGTCTTAAAGCTTCCAAGTCTTTTTCATGCTTTCAAAGGAAACTAAAGAAATCGAATAGATTTAAACACTGTTAGCCATACAAGGTAGAATACCTAATGATGACAACTACAAGCTCACTTTGCTTCATTGTGCTTTGTTTTATTGCACTTTGCAGATACTGCTTATTTTATTTTTATTTTTTGCAAATGGAAGGTTTGTGGCAACCCTGCTCTAAACAAGTCTATCAGTGCCATTTTTCCAATAGCATGCACCTTTTTTGTGTTCTCTGTGTCAGCATTTTGTAGCAATAAAATGTTTTTAGTTAAGGTTTGTACATATTTTTAAGGCATAATGTTATTGCACACTTAATAGACTACCGTGTAATATGAACATAACTTTTATATGCACTGGGAAACCAAAAAATTTAAGTGACTTGCATTACTGCAGTATTTATTTTACTGTCGGTAGTCTGGAACCAAACCGGCAATATCTTCAAGGTATTCCTGTAAAAGTAAACAGTAGGAGAAAGTAGCATGAGAAAAAAAAAAACCCCACCCAAAAGACAGTAAGAAACAGAAAAAGCATAACAAAGAGAAAGCACAATCCAAATAAAACTTTTCAAAGATGTGTGACTTTGCACTCTCTCCATCTCCTCAGAGGCCACTTACTACTTGACCCATATAAATTTACCAAATTATTTTAGCAAGTCATGAATGATCATCACGCCATGTAAGCTAATGGGCATTTTATTATTCTCACCTTATCTGACCTTAAGTTACGTTTGACTAACCCTTCTTTGAATGTTCTCAAGTATTACATGACTTCACATTTTCCTGGCTTTTTCTGGTCTCGCTCTCTGCACTTTCTCAATCTAACTCATTCTTCTCTTTCTGAAATCTAGATGCCTATGTTCCTCAGAGCTGAATTATGAGTCCTTTTCACACCTTACATTTTTTGTTGCTGTGAAAACTCATCTGCTTCCATGGCATCAGTTACTGTCAATTTGCTGAAACTTTCCAATGTGTATTTTCAGGTAAGATTTTTACTCTGAGCTCTAGACCACTACATTATTCTTAATCCAATGTATTTGCTTGGATATCTTACTGGCACATCAAAATCAACATGTCTAAACTCAACCTCATCATCTATTTTCCCACAAATCTGATCCTCATTCAGGTTTTCTTGCCTCAGGTAAGTAACAAAGTCTTATAAACTAGGCCCCTAGGACTCATACTTGATCCTCTCTCTTCCTTGTTTTCCATAATATGTTATCAAGTTCTGTCAATGCTAGTTAAAGGTAGCACCAAAAGGAGAGTTTCAATTTTTAAAATTACCCATTCCAATAATCTTAAGCAACAAATTCATCCTGACCTAAATAAACATATCTTCTAAGCACAATGGTACTTGGTACTATACATTTACCTTCAAGTTAAATCTTCACCAAATTCCCTTACAATTAAATTACTTCCCTTAAGTCTCTCTAATATCAAAATTCTAAAGTCACCATTGATGCTGTCTCTTTTTGAGACAGAGTCTTGCTCTGTCACCAGGCTGGAGTGCGGTGGCGTGATCTCGGCTTACTGCAACCTCCGCCTCCCGGGTTCCAGCGATTCTCCAGCCTCAGCCTCCGGAGTAGCTGGGACTACAGGCGCGCACCACTACACCCAGCTAAATTTTTGTATTTTTAGTAGAGACAAAGTTTCACCATGTTGTCCAGGACGGTCTCGATCTCTTGACCTGGTGATCTGCCCACCTCAGCCTCCCAAAGTACTGGGATTACAGGCGTGAGCCACCGCGCCCGGCCGATGCTATCTCTTAACTGTCTTTCAAATTCATTCTCTGCACTGAAGTAAAAAAGACCTATAACAATCCAAAATCTATGCCGTCCCTTCTTGTTTTAAAATCCTTCGTTGGATTCCCACTGCTTTTAGAAAGAAAAAAAATCTCAGAAATTAGCATAGTCTAGGCATATGATCTAAACACATCCCTGGCCTAGATTGTAATCACATCACTAGCTTTAACTTACACTACTCTACATCTTACTCTCGTCTTAGCTACAAAAAATCAGTTTTCAGAATCTTTAATGAACTGTTCTACTGCCCATATTAAGCATTCCACTTTTTGTTCTTTCTAGCTGGAAAGCCACTTGACACTCCTAGCATTGAACTGATCCTTTAAATAGAATCATAAATTTTCAGAGATGATCTCTTTAAATTCCCAGTGTGAGTTATTTTCCCCTTGTATAAGCTCTCTTATTATGCCTTTAAATTTTGTTTATAGAACTTATGCAAATTTTATTTAAATAATTGAAAACATAATTGACTATTTAATATTCCCCCACTAGAAGGTAAACTCTCTGAGTTAAGGGACCACATCTACTCAACTCACTGTAGATTCTATGTTTAACATAGTACCTTAAATACAGTGGGTCCTCTATAGTGATTTGTTAAATAAATGCATGAAACAATAGATCCTATCTATTTATTTATCTTCTCTTATGCTTCTAAGACCAGCATGTCCTATAACTAGCTGCTTTAAGAATAAAAAACATAACTTTTAAAAACAAATAGTAATAATAAGCACTACTACTACTATTTTTATTAACAGGTAGAAGAACATCTAAATCCAAACTTAGGAAATAAAAGTCTCTAATGAAAATATAATCTCCCATGACACAAATCAGCTGAAAGATACATTCAGTTTAAACTAATAGACATAATACAACATCTCACTCTGCGGCATACTGATTCTTGCAGTTTTATTGCACTCAGGTCTTCTACTGGAACACAAAGTCCTTGCTTTATATTTGCATAATAAAAGGACTCACTAAATTGTATCTTCCCAGAACAAAGGGACATTCTGTAGGGAGGTAAAATTCAGTTTTAATATAAAAGAAAGATATTAGCAGAAACTTTTAAGCTGCAGTTTTCTGCAATATTGACATTCAGCCATCATCCCACCTGCTAATCACACGCAGGAAAGTCTCATACTGAGTGTGTGTACACATGTACATGTAGAAATATGTGTGCATGCCTGTGTACTTTAACATGTGTGTGTATAGGTGTGTGATTGTATATTCTTGTGTTATGTGTATGTGATTGTGTATGGGTATGTATATGTGAATATAGATATGTGATTGTGTATGTGCATGTGTTTGTGTAAGGGTATGAGTATGTGTTTTGAGTATGTGTATGTCTAGAGAAGCAGGTCTGCAGTAATTCATAACAAAGATCTATAGAATTTAAGATTACTGGCCGGGTGCGGTGGCTCACGCCTATACTCCCAGCCCTTTGGGAGGCCGAGGCTGGCAGATCACAAGGTCAGGAGATCAAGACTATCCTGGCTAACATGGTGAAAACCCGTCTCTACTAAAAATACAAAAAATTAGCTGGGCGTGGTCCTGCCTGCCTGTAGTCCCAGCTACTTGGGAGGCTGAGGCAGGAGAATCGTTTGAACCCGGGAGGTGGAGGTTGCAGTTAGCTGAGATTGCGCCACTGCACTCCAGCCTGGGAGACAGAGCGAGACTCCATCTCACAAAAAAAAAAAAAAAAAAGAATTTAAGATTACTGTTGTGTTTTCCGTTTGAAAAATTATTTAAAGTGGTCATGTGTTGTTTAGGTAATGAAGTAAAATAAAGTTATTTCAAAATGTTTAAACAGTCTGTTGGGTGAAAGTTTTCATCTATGAGTAATTGAGATGAGTAATATTTACATAGCAACAATATGACAAATTCTGTCTCCTGACTTCCTTTAGTGCTAGCCTCCTCAGAGAGCACCCTCTATTACCCCTTTACATTGAGAAAACATTCTGAAATTTGCCTTGGTAGAACTCAGCTCCTAAATATTCCCTGAAACCAACTTTCTTCCTTAATTTTTCATTGCAAATATTTAAAACCTCTCAGTTTTCCTTCTTGTTCTCTTCTAGTTTTTGCATTCTGCTTTGGTAGATTAACATATACGCTATCTTGGTTAATGAACAACTTGCATTTCCAATTAATTACTCTGTAAGTAAATTGGTTGGCTATGTATTTCCCTACAGACTCACCATCCCTAGCAAAATCCAAAACTCTTACCTTTGTACTCTCAATTTTCCTTAGTAGGTACTAAAACTGCTCCCTGCCATGGAATTATTGCTATTTTACCTCCTCTTCCCAAGGGAGGTTCCATCTCCTGTGTTTGCTTCATTAAGTAAGTCTTCCTAAAAAGACATGGAATGTCTAGGACTTGTAGGTATGTCCTCACTGACCACTGAGTATCAGTGAAATCTACATGTCTTCCACCATGGTCTTCATCTTAAAATCTTGCCTTTCTTTGCTCTATTCAAGGCAAATGGATTAACATTTTCTACTGTGGTAAGAGTGAAAAGAGAGCTTTATGTCATTCTTATTTTTTTTCAACTTTTATTCCAAGTTCAGGGGTATATGTGTAGGATGTGCAGGTTTGTTATATAGGTAAATGTGTGTCATGGGGGTTTGTTGTACACATTATTTCATCACCCAGGTATTAAGCCTAGTACTCACTATTTTTCCTGATTCTCTCCTTCCTTCTACCCTCCACCCTCCAATAGGCCCCAGTGAGTGTTGATTCCCTCTATGTGTCCATGTGTTCTCATCATTTAGCTCCCACATATAAGTAAGAACAAGTGGTATTTGGTTTTCTGTTCCTGTGTTAGTTTGCCAAGGATAATGGCCTCCAGCTTGGGCCATGTTCCTGCAAAGGACATGATCTCATTCTTTGTTATGGCTGCTTAGTATTTCATGTTGTATATGTACTGCACTTTCTGTATCCAGTCTATTATTGACGAGCATTTAGGTTGATTCCATGACTTTGCTATTGTAAATAGTACTGTAAGGAACATACAAGTGCATGTGTATTTATAATAGAATAATTTATATTTCTTTGGTTACATACCCAGTAATGGGATTGCTGGGTCAAATGATATTTCTGTGTTTAGATCTTTGAGGAATTGACACACTGTCTTCCACAATGGTTGAACTAATTTACACTCCCACCAACAGTGTAACAGCATTCCTTTTTCTCCACAACCATGTCAGCATCCATAATTTTTGACTTTTTAAATTCTAGCCATTCTAACTGGTTTGAGATGGTATCTCATTGTGGTTTTGATTTGCATTTCTCTAATTATCAGTGATGTGCTTTTTTTCATAATTGTTGGCCACATGTATGTCCTCTTTTGAGAAGTGTCTATCATATCCTTTGCCCACTTTTTAATGACATTGCGTTTTCTTCTAAATTTGTTTAAGTTCCTTATAGATGCTGGATATTAGACCTTTCTCAGATGCATAGTTTGCAAAAGTTTTCTCCCATTCTGTAGGTTGTGTGTTTACTCTGTTGATAGTTTATTTTGTGTGCAGACGCTCTTCAGTTTAATTAGATCTCATTTGTCAATTTTTGTCTGTGTTGCAATTGCTTTTGGTGTCTTTGTTGTGAAATATTTGCCCATGACTGTGTCCTGAATGGTATTGCCTAGGTTGTCTTCCAGGGTTTTCATAGCTTTTGGTGTTACATTTAAGTCTTTAATCCATCTTGAGTTAATTTTTGTATAGGGTGTAAGGAAGGGGGTCCAGTTTCAGTTTTCTGTATTTGACTAGCCAGTTCTCCCAGCACCGTTTATTAAATAGGGAATCCTCTTCCCATCGCTTTTGTCAGGTTGATGTTCGGATAGTTGTAGGTGTGTAGTCTTATTTCTGGGTTCTCTATTCTGTTCCATTAGTCTAGATGTCTGCTCTTGTTACCACGAACATGCTGTTTTTGTTACTGTAGTATATTTTAAAGCTCTGTAGTATAGTTTGAAGTCAGCATGATGCCTCCAGCTTTGTTCTTTTTGCTTAGGATTGCCTTGATTATTCAGGCTCTTTTTTGGTTCCACATGTACTTTAAAATCATTTTGTTCTAGTTCTATGACGAGTGTCAGTGGTAGCTTAATGGGAATAGCATCGAATCTATAAAAGAGCATTTTAACTGTATTGATTCTTCCTATCCATGAGTATGGGATGTTTTTTCATTTGTTTATTTCATCTCTGATTTCTCTGAGTAGTGGTTTGTAGTTCTCCTGGTAGATGTGTTTCACTTCCCTTATGAGCTGTATTCCTAGGTATTTTATTCTTTTTCTGGCAATTGTGAATGGGAATTTATTTTTGATTTGGCTCTTGACTTGACTTTTGTTGGTGTATAGAAATGCTAGCAATTTTTGCCATTGATTTTGTATCCTGAGAACTTGCTGTAGTTTTTTACAAGCTTAAGAAGTTTTTGGGCTGAGATGATGGGGTTTTCTAGATATAGAACCCTGTTGTCTGCAAACAGGGATAGCTTCACTTCCTCTCTTCCTATTTGAATGCTCATTATTTCTTTCTCTTGCCTAGTTGCTGTGGTCAGAAATTCCAATACTATGTTGGATAAGAGTGGTGAGAGAGGGAAGACTTGGTTTGTGCCAGTTTTCAATGGGAATGCTTCCAGCTTTTGCCCATTCAATATGATGTTGGCTGTGGGTCTGTCATATATGGCTCTCATTATTTTGAGTTATGTCCCTTCAATACCTAGTCTATTGAGAGTTTTTAACATGAAAGGATGTTGAATTTTATCAAAAGCCTTTTCCGCATCTATTGAGATAATCATGTAAGTTTGTATTCAGTTCTGTTTATGTGATAAATCACATTTATTGATTTGTGTATGTTGAATTGATCTTGCATCCCAGGGATGAAGCCTACTTGATCATGGTGGATAAGCTTTTTAATGTGCTACTGGATTTGATTTGCTAGCATTTTGTTGAGAGTTTTTGCATCAATGTTCATCAGGGATATTTGGCCTGAAGTTTATCTTTTTTGTTGTGTCTCTGCCAGGATTTGTTATCATGATAATGCTGGCCTCATAGAATGAGTTGAGGAGGAGTCCCTCCTCCTAAATTTTTTGGAATATTTTCAATGGGAATGGTACCAGCTCTTTGTACCTCTAATGGAATTCAGCTGTGAATCCATCTGGTCCTGGGCTTTCTTTTTTTGGTTGGTAGGCTATTTATTACTGCCTCAATTTCAGAACTCTTTATTGGTCTGTTTGGGAATTCAATTTCATTCTGGCTCAGTCTTGGGAGGGTGTATGTGTCTAGGAATTTGTCCATTTCTTCTAGATTTTCTAGTTTATGTGCATAGAGGTGTTTATACTATTCTCTGATAGTTGTTGGTATTTCTGTAGGGTCAGTGGTAATATCCCCCTTATTATTTTTGATTGTGTTCATTTGAATCTTCTTTCTTCTTTATCAGTCTAGCTAGAGGTTTATCTATTTTATTTATTTATTTTTTTCAGAAAATGGGTTCCTGAACTCCTTGATCTTTTGAATGCTTTTCTATGTCTCTATCACCTACAGTTCAGCTCTGATTTTGGTTATTTCTTGTTTTCTGCTAGCTTTGGGATTTGTCTACTTCTGTTTCTCTATTTCTTTTAGTTGTAATGTTAGGTTGTTAACTTGAGATCTTCATAGCTTTTTGATGTGGGTATTGAGTGCTAGAAATTTCCCTCTTAACACTGCCTTAGTTATTTCCCAGAGATTCTGGTATGTTGTATCTTTGTTCTCATTAGTTTCAAAGAACTTCTTGATTTCTGCCTTAATTTCACTGTTTACCCGAAAGTCATTCAGGAGCAGGTTATTCAATTTCCATGTAATTGTATGGTTTTGAGTGAATTTCTTAGTCTTGAGTTCTAATTTGATGCACTGTGGTCCAAGAGACTGTTTATTATGATTTCAGTTCTTTTGCATTTGCTGAGGAGTATTTTACTTCCGATTATGTAATCAATTTTAGAGTAAGTGCCATGTGGCAATGAGAAGAATATAAATTCTGTTGTTTTGGGGTGAAGAGTTCTGTAGATATGGCGGTGAGGTCCATTTGATCCAGAGCTGAGTTCAGGTCCTGAACATTTTTGTTAATTTTCTCTGTCAATGATATGCCCAATATTGTTAGTGGGATGTTAAAGTCTCCCACTATTATTTGTGGGGGGTCTAAGTCTCTTTGAAGGTATCTAAGAACTTGCTTTATGAATATGTGTGCTCCTGTGTTGGGTGCATATATATTTAAGATAGCTCTTCTTGTTGAATTGAATCCTCTACCATTAGGTAATGCCCTTCTTTGTCTTTTTTGCTTTTTGTTGGTTTAAAGTCTGTTTTAACAGAAACAAGGGTTGCAATCCCTGAATTTTTCTGTTTTCCATTTGCTTTGTAAATTTTCCTCCATTCCTTTAGTTTTTCTTATTTACTTATTATTTTTATTTTAAAAATATATATATTTATTTATTATTTTATTAGTTTTGGGGGAATAGGTGGTGTTCGGTTGCATGGAATAGTTTTTTATTGGTGATTTCTGAGATTTTGGTGCACCCATCACCTGAGCAGTGTACATACACTGTATCCAATAAGTAGTTTTTATCCTTCATCTGTCTCCCACCTTTCCTCCCAAGTCCCCAAAGTCCATGGTATCATTCTTAAGACTGGTCCTGAACTTTTTGGTCGGCATTTTAAAAATCGCTTTTTCAATCTTGTTATTGAAAAACAAGATTGGTCTGTTTTTCTACTTGTTTTCTACTGTTTTCTACTTGCTATTGGTCTGTTCAGAGTTTCTCTTTCTTCCTGATTTAATCTAGGAGGGTTGTATATTTCAGTAGTTTGTCCATCTCCTCTAGACTTTTTAGTGTGTGTGCATAAAGGTGTTCATAGTTACCTTAAATAATCTTTTATATTTATGTAGTATCAGTGCTGATATCTCCTGTTTAGTTTCTAATTGAGCTTATTTGGATCTTTTCTCTTCTTGGTTAATGTGGCTAATGGTCTATCAATTTTTTTTTTATCTTTTCGAAGAACCAACTTTTTGTTTCATTTCCCTTTTCTATATTTTGTTTGTTTCAATTCCACTTAGTTCTTCTCTGATCTTCATTATCTCTTTTCTTCTACTGGGTTTGAGTTTGGTTTGTTCTTGTTTATTTAGTTCTTTGATGTATGACCTTAGATTGTGTATTTGTGCTCTTTCAGACTTTTTGATGTAGGCATTTAATGCTATAAACTTTCCTCTAAGCACTGATTTTGCTGTCTCTCAGAGGTTTTGATAAGTCATGCCACTATTATCATTCAGTTCAAAGAATTTTTTAATTTCCATCTTACTTTCATTGTTGATTCAAAGGTTACTATGGAGAAGATTATATTTTTGAGAGTTTCTTTCGGAGTTGATTTCCAATTTTATTCCACTATAGTCTGAGAGGATATTTGATATAATTACCTTATATTGTTTATTTTTGCTGTTTCAGATTTTTTGATGCAGGCATTTAATGCTATGAACTTTCCTCTTAGCACTGCCTTTGCTGTACCCTAGAGATTTTGATAGGTTGTATCACTATTATCATTCAGTTCAAAGAATTTTTAAATATCCATCTTGATTTCATTGTTGACCTAACAATCATTCAGGAGCAGGTTATTTAATTTCCATGCATTTGCACGGTTTTGAGGGTTCCCTTTGTAGTTGATTTCCAATTTTATTACACTGTGCTCTGATAGAGTGCTTGATATAGTTTTCTTAAATAAATATCTTAAATTTATTGAGACTTCTTTTGTGGCTTATCATATGGTCTATCTTGGAGAATGTTCCATGTGCTGATGAATAGAATGTATATTCTGAGGTTGTTGGATAGAGTGTTCTGTAAATATCTGTTAAGTCCATTTGTTCTATGGTATAGTTTAAGTCCATTGTTTCTTTGTTGACTTTCTGTTTTGATTGATGACCTGCCTAGTGCTGTCAGTGGAGTATTGAAGTCACTCACTATTACTGTGCTGCTGTCTATCTCATTTCTTAGGTCCAGTAGTAATTGTTTTATAAATTTTTATAAATTTTGGAGTTTCAGTGATATATATACACATTGTTGAATATGTATATATATATAGTCCATGATATATATATATAGTCCATGATATATATATATAGTCCATGATATATATATAGTCCATGATATATATAGTCCATGATATATATATAGTCCATGATTTTATATATATAGTCCATGATATATATATATATATAGAGTCCATGATATATATATAGTCCATGATATATATATAGTCCATGATTTTATATATATAGTCCATGATATATATATATAGAGTCCATGATATATATATAGTCCATGATATATATATATAGTCCATGATACATATATACAGTCCATGATATATATATAGTCCATGATATATATACATATAGTCCATGATATATATATAGTCCATGATATATACATATATATAGTCCATGATATATATATATATATTATCAAGGAGATAGAGACATGGAAAACCATTCAAAAGATCAAGGAGTTCAGTAACTCGCTTCTGAAAAAAATTAAAATAGATAAATATATATATATGTATATTTAGGATTGTGATATTTTCCTGTTGTACAAGACCTTTTATCATTATATAATGTCCCTCTTTGTTTTTTTAACTGCTGTTGCTTTAAAGTTTCTTTTGTCTGATATAAGAATAGCTACTACTTCTGCTTGCTGTTGGTGTCCATTTGCATGGAATATATTTTTCTATCCCTTTAAGTATTTGGTATTATTGTGATAGTGGCTTCACAGAATGATTTAGGGAGGATTCCATTTTTCTCTGTCTTCTGGAATAGTGTCAATAGGACTGGTACCAATTCTTTGAATGTCTGATAGAATTCAGGTGTGAATTTGTCTGCTTCTGGACTTTGTTTTTGGTAATTTTTTATTACCATTTCATTTTCACTACTTGTTATTGGTCTGTTTGGAGATTCTATATCTTTCTGCTTTAATCCAGGAGGATTGTGTACTTTCAGGAATTTGTCCATCTCTTCAAGGTTTTCTAGTTTATGTGCATAAAGGTGTTCATTGTAGCCTTGAATAATCTTTTATGTTTCTGTGGTATCTGCTGTAATATTTCCAGTTTCATTTCTAATTGAGCTTATTAGGATTATCTCTCTTCTTTTCTTGGTTGATCTTGCTAATGGTCTATTGATTTTATTTATCTTGTCAACGAACCAGCTTTTCATTTTATTTATCTTTTTGTTGTTGTTTCAATTTCATTTAGTTCTGCTCTGATCTTGGTTATTTCTTTTTTCTGCTGGGTTTGGGTTTCATTGTTCTTGTTTCTCTGGTTCCGTGAGGTGTGATCTTAGATTGTCTATCTGTGCTCTTTTTGACATTTATTGCTATGAACTTCCCTCTTAGCACCCCTGTTGCTGTATCCCAGAGGTTTTGATAAGTCGTGTAACTATTATTGTCCAATTCAAAGAATTTTTAAATTTCCATCTTGATATCACTGTTGACCCAAAGATTACTCAGGAGCAGGTTATTTAATTTCCATGTATTTGCATGGTTTTGAGGGTTCACTTTTGAGTTGATTTCCAGTTTTATTCCACTGTCATCTTAGAGGGTACTTGATATAATTACAATTTTCTCTAAATTTACTGAGACTTTTTTTGTTGCCTATCATATGTTCTATCCTGGAAAATGTTCCATGTGCTGATGAAAAGAATGTATATTCTGCAGTTTTGGGGGTAGAATGTTGTGCATATATATCCATTAAGTCCATTTGTTCTAAGGTATAGTTTAAACCCATTGTTTCATTATTGAGTTTCTGTCTTGATGACCTGTCTAGTGGAGTATTGAAGTCTCCCACTACTATTGTGTTGCTATCTCATTTCTTATGTCTAGGAATAATCATTTATAAATTTGGGAGCTCCCATGTTAAGTGCATATATATTAAGGATTGTGATATTTTCCTCTTGGACTGACCCTTTTATCATTATACAATGTCCCTCTTTGTCTTTTTTAACTGTCAGTGCTTTAAAGTCTGTTTTGTTTAATATAAGAATAGTTACCCCCACTCATTTTTGGTTTCCATTTGCGTGGAATGTCTGTTTCCATCTCTACCTTGTTTACGTGTGTCCTTATGCATTGGATGAGTCCCTTGAAGGCAGCAGATACTTGGTGGGTGGATTTTTATCCATTCTGCCATTCCATATCTCTTAAGTGGAGCATTTAGACCATTTACCTTCAATGTTAGTATTGAGATGTAAGGTACTGTTTTATTTATTATGCTCATTGTTGCCTAAATACCTCCTTTTTCTCATTGTTTTATTATTTTATAGGCTCTGTGATATTTACGCTTTAAGGAAGTTCTATTTTTATGTATTTTGAGGTTTATTTAAGTGTGTCTTTTGTTTCCAGAAGTTGTGATTGTTTTTTCTTATGATATCTTTCATAATATCTATTTGGAGATTTTCTTCATCCATATTCTGTATTGTTTTTTAAATTTCTCTAAGTTGGTTTTCATCTTTCTCTGGTATTTCCTTGAGTAGCTTAATAATCAACCTCCTGAATTATTTATCTGGCAATTCAGAGATTTCTTCTTGTTTTAGATCCATAGCTGGGGAGCTAGTATGGTCTTTTTGGGGCATTATAAAACCTTGTTTTGCCATATTATCAGAATTACATTTTTGGTTCCTTACCATTTGGGTAGAATATTTCAGTAGAGACATCTGGAACTCAATGGCTGCTGTTCAGATATTTTTGTCCCATGGGGTGATCACTCGACATGCTGCACTCCTGCTTCCCACAGGGATAGGGCTTCCTGCAAGCCAAAGTGCACTGATTCTTATTGCTCTTGTGGGTATAGCCACACATTAGGGCTACCAGGCTCTGAGCTGGTGCTAGGAAGTGTCTGCAGAGTCCTATAATGTGAACCATCTTCAGGTCTCCAGTTGTGGATACCAGCACCTGCTGTGGTGGAGGTGGTAGGGGAGTGAATATTTAGTATGTCAGTATTTAGTGTGCTGACTTTCTTGAATGCTGATTATGCTAGCAGTGAAGTTTTCATGTAGACAGACACAGGACCACTGGTTATCCAAGATGTTGCAGGCAGTGGAATTGGCTATAGTATTCTTCTTCCTTGGAGCAGAGTTGTTCTGTCATGAGCTGCTGTAATGTCCTAAGTTGGTTGGTCCCTGTCCAGGAGGTGGCACTTCTGAGAGAGCACCAGAGTTTTTGCCTGTCTCGTGGAATTTGCAGCAGCCTGCCAGTTCTTTCAAAGAATCTGTTATTTCTTTCCATTTTCTTGGTATACTCCTGTAGTGTTTCCTCAAGGAAAAGTCCATGATGTGAGTCTCCATGCACTGTTCTGTCTCTCCTAGTGGGAGCTTCAGATCAGCACTGTCTCCTATTTGCCATCTTTCCCAGAATCCCATCCCTTTTATTTTGAGCCCATGTGTGTTATTGCATGTGAGATGGGTCTCTTGAAGACAGCATACCAATGGGCCTTGGTTCTTTATCCAGATTGCCACTTTGTGTCTTTTAATTGGGGCATTTAGCTCATTTGCATTTAAGGTTAGTATTGTTATACATGGATTTGATCAATTCTGTCATCATGATGCTAGCTAGTTATTTTGCAGACGTGTTTATGTGGTTGCTTTATAGTGTCACTGGTCTGTGTAATTTAGTGTGTTTTTGTAGTGGCTAGTAATGGTTTTTCCTGTCCATATTTAGTGCTTCCTTCAGGAGCTCTTGTAAGGCAGATCTGGTGGTGATGAATTTCCTCAGCATTTGCTTGCCTGAAAAGGATCTTATTTCTCCTTCACTTATGAAGCTTAGTTTGGCCAGATATGATACTCTGGGTTGGAATTTCTTTTCTTTAGAATGTTGAATATTGGTCTCTGTTCTCTTCTGGCTTGTAGGGTTTCCAATGAGAGGTCTGCTGTTAGCCTGATGAGCTTCCCTTAGTAAGGGACCTGGCCTTTCTCTCTGGCTGCCCTTAACATTTTTTCTTTCATTTCAACCCTGGAGAATATGATTATTATGTGTCTTGGGGATGATCTTCTTGTTGAGTATCTTACTGGGCTTCTCCGTGTTTCCTGAATTTGAATGTTGGCCTGTCTAGCTAGGTTGGGGTAGTTCTCAGGGATGATATCCTGAAATATGTTTTCCAAATTGGTTCTATTCTCCCCAGCTCTTTCAGGTACACCAATCAGTCATAGATTTGATCTCTTTACACAATCTTATATTTCTTGGAGGTTCTGCTTATTCCTTTTCTTTCTTTTTTCTCCATTCTTGTCTGCCTGTCTTATTTCAGAAAGACAGGCTTCAAGCTCTGAGATTCTTTCCCCTGCTTGGTCTATTCTGTGATTAATACTTGCTATTGCATTATAAAAATTTTGTAGTGTGTTTTCAGGTCTATCAGCTCAGTTAAGGTTTTAAGATAGTAGAATGAATACATGCATCCAATTTTGCTTCCTCCAGAAAAACCACCTGACAACATAGTAAAGTGATTGTTTTTAAAAGCAAGACCTCACAATAATAAATTAAGTAAGAGAAGAGAAGGGAAAAGAGTAAAATTTTGGAAATTGGAAAGCAAAGCATATGGACAACTGGTACCTGTTGTATGGGTTTTCCCCTGGTTCCTGGAAAGATGATTCTCAAACCTTTAGAACTTCCCATGTGATAGAGTTGTCTTTGATATTTGGAAGCCCTTGGGTTACAACTGAGTTTATGCTAATGAGGTGACTCATGGTAGGCTCCTAGATAGCTTTAGAATGGGTGCTGGTCACTAGAAAAGCCAACTACGTGGTTATAGTTTTGAGATTTTGAGCCATCCTGACCTCTGAAACTCCAATAAAACTTCAGACACTGAGCTCATTGGAGATTCATGACTGGTGAAAACATCTATATGCTTGAAGGGTGATTGACCCTGATTCCACAGGGAGGGGGCTCAGAAGCTCTGAGTTCAGGACCCTGCAAGATCTTTTCTGTTTATCTCTTCATCTGACTGTTCTTGAGTTTATCTTTTGTAATAAAATTGCAATAAGAAGTATAGCACTTCCTTAATTCTGCAAGTCACTCTAGTGAATTACAAAATTGGTAAAAATTGTAGGAATCCACCAAATTGTATCTAGTTGGTCAGAAGCATGTGTGTCCTTGAGACCTCTTGAACTTGTGGCTAGCTTGTGAAGTAAGGGCAATCTTATTGTGAACCATGTCCTTTAACGTATGGGCTCTGTACCAATTCTATGTTGTAATTTCAGAATTGAACTGCAGTGTACACAGTTGGGATTGTTGTCAGAATAGTACCATATTTTATTGGCTTTGAGTTGCACATTTTAAAAAATTTACATTTTAATATCTCTAAAATTGGAAGTGCATTTTACAATTGGTAGTATGTCATGTGCTAAATGGTAGTTTTTTCTTCCTTTAGTGGTATGAAAATTAAAGCTAGATTTTACAATCTACAAACAGATATCTAAGATTTGAAGAAATATCATAAACAACGAAACAGACCCTGATCTGAGAAAATCTAGTCCCAAACTTGAAGTGAGGAAAGGTAAGAAACAACTCAATTTACCCCTACAGAATTATTACAATTCATAACATTCATGTAGTTTTAAATTGGGAAGCAAAGGGGAAGTGGGATTAAAATAAGGATGACTGAGTAAAATCTGTTTGAGAAGCAGATAGAAATGAGTTTCTTAGAAAAAAATGGGGACAGGGGATAAGTGACCTGGAGTCACTAAACTGTGAAGGTAAGACTACCACCCCCAGCTTTCTGTTTCCCCTCAGCTTCTGGAATGTTGCCAGTAGAAACTTCATATTCCAAGAAAATTAGAAAAACACTCTGGAATACTTGATGAGCACAAGATAAAAGATAAAAGACTTAAGGCTTCTGACAAGGAGGTTATCTTATAAATGGACTTTCTTGATCACCATGTGTCCTTGTTTGCTGGTGATCCTGGCTTGCATCTATTGACTTATTGTAGTAATTAATAAAGTTTTTTTTGCTATCAAAATAGTCCTGGTTTGCACCATAAATTATACAGTTACCCAATTTATTAGCAGGCCTGAAAACTATCAGAGCTTCCAATAAATGCTTAATTGTGAATAGCTGAATATTATAAGACAGCTGAGGAAAGACTCTAATATGGAAGATAGAGGCAGAGTTAAACAACCAAACCACCATGGAGACAGACAGAAAATACAGTGGAAACAATCTCCATGTAGAAGAAAGCTCCAAAGGGAAAAAAAAATGAACTGACTTCAGGGATCCAAGATGTTGATTCTGTGCATCAAATATATATTCTTACTTTAATGAGGGAGCTTCAGGAAAATTAAAAAATGGAGAAAGGGAGAGAATGGGGTGGGGGAGGAAAAAAGTAACAAAAGAAGAAAAGATTTCTTAAAGTTTAAAAACACAGTAGATGGAATGAAAAGCACTAGAGATAAACTTGAGGAAATCATCCAGAGCATGAAAGGACAAAGACTGCAAAGAGTGGAGCAAAGAAATAAAAATTGGAGAACTAGCCTGAGAGGGTACAACATTTCTGGAAAAACATGATTTTCAAACCTATAATTTTACACACACACACACACACACACACACAAACACACACACACCCCAATCAATAAAATTCAACCTGCTGTAGTTGTTTTTATCTAATACCTGGCATAGTTTTTCACTATGCATTAAAGTAAGATGAGTGGCATTTTGCTTGCTTGCAGGTGGTGTTAAGCAGTTACCTATTTTGGTAAATGATATTCAAGTTATCAAGGCAGAAAACTTCTATGACTATCCTCAGCTAGTCATAGGAGCCTGGAGTCCTATGGCCTCATTTCATATTGTATTTTATTACTTTATTTTAACTCTTAGTGTCTAAATTTGGCTTTTTCTAAATATTGAGTAGTTAGTGAGTGCGCACCTTGTGCTTGGTATCAGCCTTAAACCTTGGCACTGTGTTAGATTTTATTGACTATGCCCTTTATTGATAAATTATATATAGTGATATGTCACATTATATTTTGTTTATACTTTATACTGTGATTTATTATTGTATTGTCACAAAAGTTGGACGTTGAAGAGGTGTGTCATGTTTCATACCTCTTGGTTTCAATGGTAACTAATAGACAGTAGGGAAGAAGGGTCAATCAAATTAACATTTATGAATCTCCTATTGTGTCCCAAGCAGCATAAAGTAGTTGCTACTACTTACATTTTTAGATAAGAAAAACACATTAATTATGGCTAATAATATTACTGAAAGTGGAGTGGGTCTTTCCTTACTATAAAGCCCGGTCAATAAGTACTTATTTATCTAATATATATGATCTAATTTGATGAAATATGTTTGATAAATAAGAATTTAAAATTAATGTTTCTTTCTCTATCTCAGACGATGGACTATTAATGATATTGTAGTATTAGTAAGAATGATGTATTCCAATGGGTGACATGCTGTTTCTCTGTAGCCAGATAAATCATCCTCTCAATTTATTTGATCTTTGAAAAATCAGTTTTAAAATTCTCAAGGGATTATTCATTTCAATTCTTTTAAGACCAAGAGAGTTTATTTTCCACACCCAATTAGAAGAGATACCAAAACATCTTGGGACATTAAGCAATATTACTGAGAAATAATGGAAGTATAACTTATGTGACATGCAGAGCTCTTCTTAGATTTTTTTCATGTACTTATAATAATTATAAAACATTAAGCCTTAATAATAAATATAAATATTTGTGACTGAAAGGAAAAGCTGCAGCTGGCTGTTTCACCCAAACTCACCTTAGGCGTGGTTTTGTTCATTTACCCAGAATGAAATACCTTGGAAAAAAAAAAACATGCAAGGAAATTCCTTATTTCTCAAAATAACAAATGGTCCATCTGAACAACATCAGGACAATAAATAACTCATGCTAATAAATAGCATTCATTTCTTGTTTTTGTTTAAAATATTCAAAAAAGACATCTGGCTTTGTATTAAAACAATGCAGTACACTTTGAGAAAAGTCATATTGTCACTATAAGCAAATGACTTTAGCAATACACTGCTATTGAGTGGAAGCTACTTTTGAATGGGCATAACGAATATTTCTCACTTGACAGGGCTCTCTTAGCAAAGATTACAGACCAGGGAAACCTTCTTGTTGATCAGAGAGATAAGAGAAACTCAGCCAAATAAACCTGGAAATAATCAAGAATCATGGAAATGCACAAGTTTCACCATTTTTTGCTCTTGCAGAAGCTGTGTTAAGTGCCCAATCCAAAAAGAAATAAAAATACGTGGCACATTTGGTTTGCAAAGGCCTCCTGCCTCTGCTAACTCTTAAACAGGAATTGGCAAAGCATCTGAGGCCACAGAGGGCCAATCTCTAAATGTGCAGGTTGCCTCCTAGTGAGATCCATTTGCACTCAAGGGAATAAACATTTCCATTTAGCAAATTTCCTCTCACTACATTGTGTCATAAGTGAACATTTTGCTGTTTGTACATTGCCAACAACCAAGATTTTGTAAACCATTGGAGACCTTGGTAACAATTCATGCCCTTTTTTTCCCTTCTGGCTATGTCAGTCATGTATTGATCAACCACAGGGATGGGTTCTGAGAAATGTATCTTTAGGTGATTTCATCTTTCTGTGAATAACAGAATGTACTTCACTTACACAAACTAGACGGCATAGCCTACTAGGCTATATATTATAGCCTATTTCTCCTAGGCTAAAAACTTGTACAACATGTTACTGTACTGAATACTGTAGGTGACTGTAGCACAATGATAAATATTTGTGTATCTAAATATATCTAAACATAGAAAAGGTACAGTAAAAATATGGTATTATAATCTTATGGGACCACCATCATACATGTGGTCTGTTGACTGAAACATCATTATGCAATGTCTGGCTGTAATTAAGATGATTCAGACTGAATTCATTTTAGCTTTCCTAGTTCACTTATTTATTCAAACTTATTGGACTTTTGATAAGTCCTGTGTGACTTATTGATAAATATTAACAATATTGTTACTATAGATTTTCCTAGGATGCCCAGAATCCTGATGCACTCAATTGGCCTTCCAGGAAATCATAGCCTTACACAGCTATAGATATGAAAACTTTACATAAGAATTCTGTGCCAACTGCTATGGAAAATCAGAAGGATCCCAAAAACCATGGCTAGATAGTTCTAGGAAAATTTTACAGAAGTTTGTATTTGCTTTTAAATATATATAAGGGCAAATGAAATTAACATTTATTGACGTAATGTATCCTCACAGTCCTAAAAGCTTTGTTTAAGCTATTTCTGTTGATTTTTCACAACAGTCCAATGAGGAATCATTATCTTCATTTTACAATTAAGGAAACAACAGTTCAGATGGGGTAATTAACAAGAATGTAGATAACCAATAAAGAAATGGCAAAGCAGGACATAAACTAAGATATTCTCATACCAATTGGGGTTCCTGGAAATTTCTATAGTTGAAGAAATGGATTCCTCAATTTTATCTGATGATATTTTTAAAGTAAATTTGGGATACATAAAGTAAATTATATCTCTTTAAAGTAAATTTTGGATATGAAATATCCCATATATGGAATATTAAATAAAAATGGGTTGTGATATAAAGGCGATTATTATTATTATTATTGTTTAAATTTCAACTTTTAGTTTCACAAGGTACATATACAGGTTTGTTACAAGGGTATATTGTATGATGTTGAAGATTGGGATATGATTGAACCTGTTACTCGAGTAGTGAGCATAGTACCCAATAGGGAGTTTCTTAACCCTTGACTCCCTCCTTCTCTCCCTGCACTTGTAGTCCCCAGTGTCTACTGTTTCTGTCTTTATATCCATGAGTACCCAGTGTTTAGCTCTCACTTACAAGTGAGAACATTTAGGATTTGTTTTTTTGTTCGTGGGTTAATTTTCTTAGGCTAATGTCCTCCAGCTACATCCATATTGCTGCAAAGAACATGATTTCATTCGATTTTTATGACTGCATAGTAATCAATGGTGTAGATGTACCACATTTTCTTTAACCTATCCACTGGTGATAGGCACCTAGGATGATTTCATGTCTTTGCTATTGTGAAGAGTGCTGCAATGAATGTACAAGTGCATGTGTTTTTTTGGTAGAATGATTTATTTTTCTTTGGGTGTATACCCATTAATAGGATTTCTGGGTCAAATGGTAGTTCTGTTTTTTAGTTCTTTGAAAAATCTCCAAATTACTCTCTACAGTGGCTAAACTATACACATTCTTACTAAGAGTGTATAAGCATTCTTTTTTTCTGCAGCCTCAACACTGTCTGTTATTTTTTACTTTTTAATAATAGTCATTCTGACTGGTGTGAGAATGTATCTCATAGTGGTTTTGATTTGCACTTCTCTGATGATTAGTGATGTTGAGCATTTTTTCTTGTTTGTTTTCCACTTGTAGGTACTCTTTTGAGAAGTATTTGTTTATGTCCTTTGTCCACTTTTTAATGAGGTTATTTGTTTTCAGTTTATTTGTTTAAGTTCCTTATAGATTCTGGATATTAGACCTTTGTTAGATGCATAATTTGTGACTATTTTCTCTCATTTTGTAGGTTGTCTGTTTACTCTATTGATAGTTTCTTTTGCTGTGCAGAAACTCCAGTTTAATTAGGTCCTACATGTCAATTTTAGTTTGTGTTGCAATTGCTTTTGAGGACTTAGTCATAAATATTTTGCCAAGGCCAGTGTTGAGAAGGGCATTTTCTAGGTTTTCTTCCAAGATTTTTATAGATTTAGAACTTTACATGTTAGTCTTTAATCCATTAAAGGTTATCATTATATAATTATGTGTTCTTGTTTATATGTGTAAACTATTTCAAAATAAAATTAAATACTTCATTAGTTAAAGATATAAAAAATTTAAAAGTGTAGACTGGGCTTTTAAAAGTGTAGACTGGACTTGTTGAGATACATTCAGGATTAATGAAAAAATATACTCTTTGAAATATATTAGGGTAAAATTTATCATAAAAGGTTAAAGACAAAGTTCCATAGATAAAACAAATCAAAAACATTAGGATTTCATTTGAAACAAGACCTGCAAAGTTAAACTATATCATCTATAGATTTTAAAGAAACCGAATAGAGATTCGTTAATATAATCATGAGCCAAAATATTACTTCCGTGGAGGTATATAAGAACATTTTGAAATATAAAGTTCCAGAGAAGATCACTCATTTAATAATACAATCAATGAATCTTTAGTTAAATATATACAGAAGATGACAATGTGATTGGGAATTTGTGTTTCTTAAGAATCCTTTTTATAATAGATTGGATTGGAAATTAAACCTTAGTAATAATCTATCACCAAAGTTTTAAATTATCTCATTGGGAGAATACATAAGATTCTGAAATGAATTTAAAATTTGACAGTTCAAAAAAACAAAAATAAGCAGAGACTTTGAGAAACACAATCATCTAGCTAAATTACATAAATTACATAGATATACTGAACCATTTGTACCATTTAATTCCTATGAAGAAATAATCACATTTTTTTCTTATTCATGGAAATGGTTTTCTTTTAATTTCTATATTTATTTACTAAAAATCTTAATAAATTTTAAATTATATTTAATTAGCCATAAACTTTGACTTAACTGATAAAAGTAGAATGAATGATAAAAAACAAAATCTACATGAAAATTAATAAGTGCTTCCTTAGTTGCTATTAAAATCAAAGAAAAAACTTAAAATAGGTATTAAAAAATGTATATCATCTACTGAAAAGGAAGACAATTCATAAGAATACATTGAAGACATAGTTAACCAGTACTTAATATTATATACTCGGATGTTTTTTGCTATTATAGAACAAATACTGGAAACATGAACCAGGAATGCAACTTAAGGGATTAGAAAAAAGAGAAAAAATAAGAAATGTATAAATTAAGAAAGAACAGTTACAAATATTAGAGTTAAAATCTATAAAAATAAAAACTGTAAAATAGTAAAAAAAAAAAAAAGGTCAAAACTGATTTCCTAAAACATGAATTAATAAAGTAAACAAAGTTTTGAGATGTTCAAGTAATAATATTTTCAAGGGAGACACTGCAAAACTTATAAAATATTAAAATAACAATTTATAATCATAATTATTGGCCAGTTTTAAATGCTTGAATTTTTACGGAAAACAATGAGAAAATGTTAATGCTAAGATCATTGTATGATTTTTTTTAGCAACATACAAACTACCAAACTTGACTTAAAAAACAGAACAAAAGTATGCTGATAAAGAAAGCCATGATCTCATTAACGGGGTACTATAGTTTAATATAGCAGTAGTTTACTCAGTGCCATTTTTGTATATAGTTTGTAAGGATAGATCACAATTTATGTATCCATTCTATTATAGATGGATATTTGATTTCTGTTGAGTACTGCAAATGATGCTGTGATCATTATATGTGAGCTCAATTTATCAGGACTGTTTTTGATATGCTTTCTTCCTAAAATAACTCATATTTTCTCTTTAAATTGGGCATATCTTTCTTGGAACAATGGATAAATTCTCATTTTTTAGGTATACAGTAAAAAGATTATTTTGATGACCTAATGCCTCTGTACCTCACTCATTCCAAATAAGAAAATTAGGCACTCAGGGTACATGAAAAAAAATTTCAGTCATATTTTTAAACTATTAAATAAAACTGAAGGAATTAAAATTGTTATAGCATTTACTTTAAGTAGTAGGGTGAAATGAACATAATTTTAAGCAAACACATCTTCAGAAATGTATCAATTTTACACTAGCCAGAAAGTAAATTAAAGAAATTTAGAAGTTAGAGTGCATAAATAACCTGGTAAACTGTATTGTTTTAACAATAAAAAGCAACAAAAACAATAGCAATACGAGATGATAATAACGATCTGGAAGGAAAATATAAAATTAATTGCAACTTTTCCAATTGGTGGTGGTGAAAGAAAGAATGCAAGGGGCTGAAAGACGTTCAAGATACCCATATTCCTCAGTGATGAGCTTCCATTAGTTGGTTATAAAGGTCGAAAGAGTAAATATTTTCATGAGCTTAAGTTGGTAGTAACCAAAATAAAAATTAAAATATAATATATACATTTCAATTATCCAAAGGGAAAAAACTATTTAAAAAGCTATCTATTAGGGAAGTAGAGAAAAAGGCCAACTAAACAAACCAAAACATGGTAAATGGCAAAATGACATGAGATGGAAAAAATTATTTTAAAACAGTAATTTATATAAAGTAATTAAATTACAAATAGATAATGTTAAAATACATAAAACATGAAATGATATTTTTGTACAAGAGAATTAGTTTACAAAGCGTTGAGCATAAGTGAGGAAAATATATACTACACAAATATAAACCAATTTGATATAATAATCAGTAACAAGGACAAATGTTGTATTAATATTCATAAAACAAAATCAAGAAAACAAAATCACAAAATTAGGTATAACAAAAATACAACCTTAAAATACAAGACAGTGTCTGTAGTTTCAGGAAACCAGGAAAAATACATAAATTCACAATTCATTTGGAAATTTAATGCAATCCTTTGGGGCATTAGTAGATCAAATATCATTAATTGAGTAATTTAGGCTCAACCTACAGTGCACATTTTTTTGTTTGTTTGTTTGAGACAGAGTCTCGCTCTGTCGCCCAGGCTGGAGTGCAGTGGCACGATCTTGGAGTGCATGTTATTTTTTGATAAGGAATATTTAATATCCAAATTCATTTCTGAACTACTCCACAAGAAAGTCTGAAAATATATTCCATAGACGAATCATCATATGCACTATGCTCTTCAAGAATAAGGCAACGAAACAGCTATGCCAGAGAGACCATGACCTTATAATTTACAGCATAGTGTTGAGGTATGCATTTTGTTATTCTTTATTTCACAATGTTTTACGCATTGTAGATTCCTTTTTTTTTTTCATTGTCTTCTGGTATTGAATGATTTTCTGGGGAAATATGAAACCAAGTGTTAAAAAAGTCATAAAATGTAAAAGGAGTATTTTTCACATAACTGACTCTTAGAGATAGGCACTTGGAACAATTCTTTTTTTTTTTTTTTTTTTTTTGAGCCGGAGTCTCACTCTGTCGCCCAGGCTGGAGTGCAGTGGCGGGATCTCGGCTCACTGCAAGCTCCGCCTCCCGGGTTCACACCATTCTCCGGCCTCAGCCTCCCGAGTAGCTGGGATTACAGGCGCCCGCCACTACGCCCGGCTAATTTTTTGTATTTTTAGTAGAGACGGGGTTTCACCGTTTTAGCAGGGATGGTCTCGATCTCCTGACCTCGTGATCCGCCCGCCTCGGCCTCCCAAAGTGCTGGGATTACAGGCGTGAGCCACCGCGCCCGGCCACTTGGAACAATTCTTATGCAATCTCTGGAAATTTCCTGTGCATAAACACATATATGTAGGTACATTTGTGTATGTATATACATGTGTGTATTCCTACAAAACCAAGCATCCTATACATACTGGTTTTTTCATAATTTTTTTTACTTCATCTTTGAGAATTCAGATATGAGTTTATTCTAAACTATCTCATTTCCCCTAACTACTTCATAAGATCCCATTGTGGAGATTCATAATCTAATAATTAAATGCTCTGTTGGGGGCAGTTAGGTTATTGTTTAGTTTCATCTCATTTGTTTTGTTTTTGTTACTGTAGAAAATGGTGCTTAAATCTCCTACATATAAACTATATCCACAAGGTAAATGCCTTCAATTGGAATTTCTGAGACGAATGATATATATTTCTAAAATCAGAAAGAACTTTGCAAAATGCCTAAACTTCCATGTCTTCAGAAATCATTAATATGGGATTTTTCAAAGAGTTAAGAACCTAAATTCCTTAACATCTGTAATTCTACCTACCATAATTTTCATCTTAACTCTCCCTCATTCCTCCATTGTTCCTTGCTTTCAGATCTCTCCACTGCCTCCCTATTTATTATTGATATGTCATAGGACAGTGGTTTACACTGTGTGATATGAGAACCATTTGTGGTACAGAAGATAATTTCATATGGCCCTTTAAGGAACACATTTACTTAAATATATATGTATTTCAATATGCATTTGTAAAAGATAATTAGCACAACAAATTAGATTATCTTAGAAAACATTTATATAAAATGTATTTATTTAGATAAAATACTAGGCAGTATGTAATCTATATGAAACTCCAATTTGGAAAAAAAATTAGGTGTCTGGAGAATCGTCGAAACTTTGGAAACACTACTGTAGTGTTGTGTCCGGACTTGGTTCCTTCCAGTGGTTTCATGGTCTCGCTGACTTCAAGAATGAAGCCGCAGACCTTCATGGTGAGTGTTACAGCTCTTAAAGGTGGCACGGATCCAAAGAGTGAGCAGCAGCAAGATTTATTGTGAAGAGCAAAAGAACAAAGCTTCCACACTGTGGAGGGGGACCCAAGCAGGTTGCTGCTGCTGGCTAGGGTGCCCAGCTTTTATTCCCTTATTTCTCCTTGCCTACGTCTTGCTGATTGGTCCATTATACAGAATGCTGATTGGTCCATTTTACAAACTTCTAGCTAGCCACAGAGCACTGATTGGTGCGTTTTTACAGAGCACTGATTGGCACATTTTACAAATTTCTAGCTAGCCACAGAGTGCTGATTGGTGCATTTTTACAGAGCACTGATTGGCGCATTTTACAAATTTCTATCTAGCCACAGAGCGCTGATTGGTGCATTTTACAATTCTAGCTACAGAGTGCTGATTGGTGCATTTTACAATCCTCTTATAAGACAGAAAAGTTCTCCAAGTCCCCACTCCACCCAGGAAGTCCAGCTGGCTTTACCTCTCAATGTCATGTTCTGTTCATCTTCATCATCTTCACTTCCTGGACTGTCATTGCTTCTGACTAATAACAGTTACCCCATGATTTTGAAAACACTTGAGCAATGTTTGCCATCTAGTATGATGAATAAAATTTATAACTTTTAATTATATGTTTGGAGTAGGATAAACAAAGTGATTGTAGTAACCTTCCCCAGAGAGTTATGTTTCCACAATAATTTAAAGTATTATGAACTTTGCAGGAGATCTTAAAAAAATGATAAAAAGAAAGAGATGGATAAAGACATACAGATATCCAAAGGACACAGAGAGAAAAAGATGGAACAAGAATATATGTGAGAGACTACAAACAATGGCAAGCACAGACCAGCAAAAGAAAGAAAGAAAGGGTAACAGAGAAAGCAATAGAGGAAGAATATGAAGCCATGTAAATCTGAATGTGGGCTCTTTTATACCAAGAATCTACTCCAAGGCTGAATATTAGCTCACTTTTAAGAATCAAAGTTGTGGATTTCATAGGTTAGTAATTAGAGAACTCATTTTACAATCCACATTTAAGAAGTATATAGTATTGAAATATTGTCTCTCGCTTGCTTTCTTGTTTTGTCTTTTTCATTTTATTAATGGTGTCTTTTGAAGTGCAGAAGATTTCAATTTTGTAGAGTTCTAGGAAGTTTCAAACTTTCCTACATCTTCCTGTCTTCTGAGCCCTCCAAGTCTCCAGGAAGTTCCAAACTTTCCCACATTTTCCTGTCTTTTTCTGAGACCTCCAAACTGTTCCAACCTCTGCCTGTTATCCAGTTCCAAAGTCACTTCCACATTTTAAGGTATCTTTACAGCAGCAACCCACCACAAGGTACCAATTTACTGTATTAGTCAGTTCTCATGCTGCTAATAGAGACATACTCAAGACTGGGTAATTTATAAAGGAAAGGGGTTTAATTGACTCACAGTTAAGCATGGCTCAGGAGGCCTCAGGAAACTTACAATCATGGCAGAAGGAGAAGCAAATATATCCTTCTTTACATGGCAGCAAGGAGAAGTGCCAAGCAAAAGGAGGAACAGCCCCTTATAAAACCATCAGATCTCACAAGAACTCACTCACTATCATGAGAAAAGCATGAGGGTAACCACCCCATGATTAAATTACCTCCCAAGGGGTTTCTTCCATGACACCTGGGGATTATGAGAACTACAATTCAAGATGAGATTTGGGTAGGGACACAGCCCAACCATATCACCAAATATCCATCAATTGGTGAAAGGGTAAACAAAATGTTATATAATCATACAATAAGATGCTATTTACCAGTAAAAATGAATTTGCAGTCCTATTATGTGCCATAAAATGAACAAACCACTATAACATTATGCTAAGCAGAAGAAGCTAGTTGCAACAGGCCATATTTTGTATGATTCCACTTACATAAACGGTGTAGAACAGGCAAATCTGTAAATAAAAAAAATAGATTCATAGTTCCCTGAGTCTTGGAAAGAGAACCGGGATTAACTCAGAATGGGTACAATGAATATCTTTGGGGTGATTAAAATATTCAAAAGTGGATTGTGATTGTACCACCCTTAAATTTATCTAAATATCATTAAATTTTTCATGCATAATGGGTAACTTTATGGTGTACAAATAATAGTTCAATAAAGTTGTGACAAAAAAATGAGCACTGAGCTCAGTGTTGCTCATTTTGGAAGAATTATTAATAACCCTTACTATATCAGATGTTTTCCATCCTCCCATCCATATGTTCATGGTTTTGCCACTTCTTGGCATGCTGCCTAACTTCCAGCTATCAGCATTTGCAACCTTTTTCTGAGAGCTTTATCTGGCCATTGGATCTTGCTATGCCTGTGCATGGCAGACAGAAAGTACTGTGGGTATCAATGACTCATGGGTGCAAACCTTGAGCAATAACTGGCAGAAACTCATGGAAGAAAACCTCATGTGTGGCCAGGCATGGAGGCTCACACTGTAATCCCAACACTTTGAGAGGCTGAGGCAGGAAGATCACCTGAGGTCAGAAGTTCGAGACCCGCCTGGCCAACATGGTGAAACCCTGTCTCTACTAAAAATACAATATTAGGCAGGCATCGTGGTGCATGTATGTAATACAAGCTACTTGGGAGGCTTAGGCAGGAGTATCGCTTGAACCCAGGAGGCAGAGTTTGCAGTGAGCCAAGATTGCACCATTCCACTACAGCCTGGGCAACAGAGTGAGACTCCATCTCAGAAAACAAACAAACAAACAAACACAAACAAAAAACTCCAAACACCAAGAAACATTTCTCTCATCCCTAAATGGGATAGTATTAAGTTTCAGTTTTCCACAGGTTGACTTGTATGGTAATGCATGCTGTTACCTTCCTTTCCCTCTTTTTATCCTCATTATTTTACATTATACTGAAATTCCTTCATCTACTCTGTTTCTCTCTGTTACAGATTGCCTTGCTAGTTATTCCCACAAAATCAATTTGTCCTTTTTGCCCATGTGGCCTCTTAGCTACCAATTAAATGTGTCTGCCTCTCTTGCAGCTAGGTGTCTATATGTAATGTGAAAAGTGATATGTGTACCAGCTCATTTCTAAATATAAATAAACCACTTCTCCTGGATCCTAGCTCATTTTATTATTTTCTATGGACTAGAATTATATATCTTTGACCATATAAATGAAAATACAATTCCACAGAAAAGTAGAGAAATAATATAGAAGGATTCTAAATCCCTGCATGACCAAAAAGGTGTAGGATGACTTTGCTAGCCTACTTGTCAGACTGTTACATGAGAGCACAATATCTGCTATATTATGTAAGTAATAGTTTTTGGGGTCTTTTTGTCATAGCAACTAGCCTTCATCTTAATATGCAACATTCCTGCTCTGTCTTCAGTTTCTTTTCTACCACTGTAGTATTGAGCGGACTCACTTGCTTAGTAATTTATAGTAACCTAATTGAATGCATCCGTTCACCAAATTTATGCAGAGCCTGGAAATTTTAGTAATTTTTTTTTCTCAGACTCTTTGAATTCCTAACAGTTGAAAAACACAGATTTTTGTTACCCTGCTGGTGCTCTGTAATTACATGCAATGTGCACTGTAAAACCATCAAGATCTTGGCTCATAAACCAGATGCCTTGGTCTTTCTGAGTAAGTATTAGCAGTGAGGAACCTGGCAGCAGATGGCGTTCCCCTGGCAACTATGTTTCTAACTCACTAGTTCCTGTCAGTACCTGCTTGAAGGTTTCAAACTTGTAGGCAGTTTAATTCCTTTGACAGACTTGCTGAAGAAAAGAGCTGAGAGGAACTCTGTTTGGGAGCAAAAGTTTTCTATAATTGTCGACCTTCCTGCATCCAGTTCATTTGGAGGACATTTAGATTTACCAGGGGTTCAAAATTATAATCACTTCTCATGTATGTTGAGCTGAATATGAGTAGTTCTTACTCTCCATTGGCTGGCTTGCTCAGGGAGGCAGTGCTTAAAATGATACGGTAGCAAATATCAGCTTAGTCAAAGCTTAAGCTAGGTAATTGAATTCTGGTGGCAACCACAGACAATAAGTGCATGAGGTGTCTTTGAAATGTGTTGTACTGATCAACCATTAAGATAGTAATGATCACCTTGGAGCAACCATCTGCTCCTGTTTGGAGAAGAAACTTCAGCTACTGCAGATCGGGTTTCCTAGGAAGCAGATTCTGAGATGGGGTACAGGATGTTTATTAGGGAGTGCTCTTGAGGTCAATTCCTGGGTAAGGGAAGGGAAGAAAGAATGATTGGGCAGAGGGGAAAAATTGAGCTTCAATCATCAAAAGCTCCCTCAAACCCCACAAGGTGCTCTGAAGCCTGGATATGTCTTCGTGGTCCACCTTCATTGTGGAGAGGGAGCTGGACATTTGAACTCTTATGTTGATTGGCCGTTGTGTGCAGACTCCCTGAGGAAATGGCAGTGGCCCAGCAGATGCAGATTTCTTCAATCATGGGCAACTTCCAAAGAGGACTGATAGCTTTCAAGGGTCAGGTGACAACCTTCCCAGCAGCTTTGGGAATAAGAAGTAAGAAATAATACTGAGAGATTCTGAGGGAGGAATCTGGATGACTTATTACAGGTCCTACTATCCCAACCATCTGGGCACCTCCGTGGTAACTCCAAATTACAGTTTCTTTATTGGTTTCAGGCCCTTCTACTTACAGCTACTAGAAGTGGTGATTTAGTCTCTGGAGTCAGCTATGAATACTTTTTTTTACTATGCTACTAGTGAAAAACATGCCTCAGCCAGGAGGTAGCTGAGATTTGTAGCTGACACTAGATGTCAAATAATCCCTTTGCTTGGATGTTCTTAAATTTCACTAAAATGTGTTAGTCTGGGACTGTGTCTCTGTTTTGTTACTATCTGTAACTATTGTTCCCTTAACATGGTTATTTATCCTGTTATTCATCACTACATGCCCTGCATTACTCCATGTGGAATAATTTTTCTCATGGGAAAATGAAGTTTTGTGCAAAATATTATCAGCCTCTATCTGAATTTGTGAAATGTGTATATATATATATATGTGTGTGTGTGTGTGTGTATGTGATATATATATGTGATATATATATACAGACCTATATATATATATTTCAGAAAAATATATTCAAATATTTTTAAAATGTTGAATCTTATTAAAAGACTAATAGTGAAGACAGAAATATACTCTTCCTGACACCACAATCCAATTACTTTGAAACAAAGACTTTCATTTGTTTGTGACTTTTTCGGATATTTTCCTGCATACATGATTAACATGCTTATACTAATATTTCTTGAGTAATCAATGTTAGATTTAATGTACTGACCTCTTTATTATGTCAAATATAGATGCATACTATCTTGGTATTTCCCTCTGCAAAACCTTCCTAATTTAGGTTTGCAAATTTATATAAATTACTGTGAAATTCTATTTTTCTGAATCTTTCCCCGATTTTTGGCTTTTTTGCTTATCTGTTTTAAACTCATTCCATTTGTAGGCTTTCATCAGATATTCCATTGCATTTAATCGTACAGCTTTAAGAGTGAGTTGCTAAAATGTTGATTAGAAGCTGTTTTTGTGTTTGACTTGATGATGAGATATGGAGTTTTTTTTAAACTTTTATTTTTATTTTGGGGGTATATGCACAGGTTTATTATATAGATATTCATAAATTGCATGTTGTGGGGGTTTGGTGTACATATTATTTCATCACCCAGGTAATAAGCATAGTATCCAATAGGTAGTATTTTGATCTTTATCCTCTTACCCTTCACCCTCAAACAGACCCCTGTGTCTATGATTGCCTTCATTGTGTCCACATGTACTCAATGTTTAGCTCCCACTTAAAGGTGAGAACATGAAGTATTTAGTTTTCTGTTCCTTGGTTAATTTTCTTAGTATAATGGCCTCAGGCTTCATTCATGTTGCTGCAAAGGACATTATCTTGTTATTTTTTATGCCTGCATAGTATTCTGTGGTGAATATGTACCACATTTTCTTTATGGAGTCTACCATTGATGGGCATCTAGGTTAATTCCATGTCTTTGCTATTGTGAATAGTGCTGCAATGAACATACATGTGCATATGTCTTTATAGTAGAACAATTTATATTTTGGGGAGAATATACCCAATAATGGGATTGCTGGGGCAACTGGTGGTTCTGTTTTGAGTTCACTGAGAAATCACAAAACTGCTTTCCACAGTGGCTGAACTAACTTACATTCACACCAGCAGTGTGTAAGTGTTCCCTTTTCTCTGTAAACTCACCAGCATCTGTTATTTTTTGACTTTTTAATAATAGCCTTTCTGACAGTTGTGAAATGGTATCTCATTGTGATTTTGATTTGCATTTCTTTTATGATTAGTGATGTTGAGCATTTTTTTCATATGCTTGTTGGTTGCATGTTTGTCTTCTTTTGAAAAATGTCTGTTCATACTCTTTGCCCATTTTTAAAGGGTTTTTTGTTGTTTTAAGTTCCTTATAGATTCTGGATATTATGACTTTATAAGATACATAGTTTGCAAATGTTTTCTCCAATTCTTTAGGTTGGCTATTTTCTCTGTTGATAGTTTCATTTGCTGTGCAGAAGCTCTTTAGTTTAACTAGGTCCCACTTGTCAATTTTTTTTGTTGTTGCAATTACTTTTGGTGTCTTCATCATGAAATCTTTGTAAGGACTTTTGTCCAGAATGATATTTCCTAGATTATCTTCCAGGATTTTTATAGTTTTTATAGTTTTAGGTTGTACATTTAAGTCTTTAATCCATCTTGAGTTGATTTTTGTATATGGTGTAAGAAAGGGGTCCAGTTTCAGTCTTCTGTGTATGGCTAGCCAGTTATCCCAGCACCATTTATTGAATAGGGAGTCCTTTTCCCATTGCTTATTTTTGTCGATGATCAGTCGGTTGTGGGGATGTGACTTTATTTCTAGGATGTCTATTCTGTTCCATTGATCTGTGTGTCTATATTTCTACTACTAACGTGTTATTTTTGTTACTGTAGCCTTGTGGTATAGTTTGAAGAAAGGTAATGTGATTGCTTCAGCTTTGATCTTTTTGCTCAGTGTTGCTTTGGCTATTCATGCTCTTGTTTGGTTCCATATGAATTTTAGGATAGCTGTATCTATTTCACAGAAATAGAAACAATGTCATTGTGATGGCAGCAAGGGGCAGTCCACAGTGGGGAAGCACAGGCAGTGGAAACAGGAGCGGCAGCAGGAGCGGCAGTGGTGGCGGTGGGTCATCTGTGCACCATGTCCACAAGGTGGCCAACTGCACTGCCTCCATCTTCATGTGACCGGGTAGAAACCCCTCTCAGTCCTGGAGCCTCCATGGCTCTGAACCCTGGCCATGCATTGCTGCTCTCGCCGGCCAGCACTACGGGGAAGGTGTGGGCAGGGGGAAGACAGTTCCCAGGCCGCCCCAGGGAGCCCCCTGAAACCCACTGCCCTGAGGACTACAGTGATGGGGCTGGGCCACGCCTCCTGCTGTTGCAGGAACAGCACTATCGGGCAGAGAGGGGCCCAGGGCAGTGCTGGGCCCAGGTTGGTGCTGGGCTTGCATATGGAGCATGGGGACCGGGCCTGGGGTGCGAAGTTGGGGCCACGCTTTGGGAGCCAGGACGGAAAGTGGGAGCAGGCCTGCTTCGAGAACCTGGCCAGTGGTGCAGCCACCACTCCCACTCTGCAGAGGATGCTGGGTTTTTCACCTCAGGAGGAGGCTCTGTATGGGGCTGCACCAGTGCATGTCCCTGGGGTCTGCCTTGCATCAGCGTGACCACTGAGCCTGACACTCCCGACGGCTGGGCCCAGGGTCCACAATCCACTTCCAGAGGTGTGCCCCCTAGACAGGGCCACAAGCCAGGTGAAGGGGAGCCCTGGGCTGCCCCTGAAGGTTGCGGCCATCGGGGAGCTCTCAATGATGTTGCTCCTGCCCCGAACACTGGCCTAGGCCCAGCAAGGACCTGGAGCCCCCACCCCAGGCTGCATGGGTTGTGGCCAGGGCTGCATGATCTACAGAGCCAGTGGGAGCCAGGGACAAGCAGAAGCCTCACCCCTTCTGAGTTTGCATGCCAGGAGCTCCCTGGGTGCGCTGCAGCTGCCCTGTCCAACCACAGACTCAGGCATCCCTGCACTCTCAGGGGCCCAGGAAGCTTCCTTTGTCCCCCCAGGCTCAGGAGTGTTTGCTGTTGCTGCCTGGCCTCTTCCCACTACCACTGCCTGTTCTGATCTGAGAGCAGGGTTGGGGCCAAGCCCAGGAGCAGTCATAACCTGGCCTGGTGTGTGCGCACTCAAGGCAGTGCTGACATGCCAGCTCCCTGAGGCTGTGGCACCTCCCAGACTTTGGGCACTGAGAAGCTTTGGGAGGGAGGCTGAAGTTGGGGGAAGCGCAGCTCGGTGCTGCCCTGCAGGTTGCTCTTGGCTGGAGCAGCCTGGGCACCATGGACACCAGCAGAAGACAGACAGGCACCTGGGTGGAAGGGGGCAGATCAGGCCAAGGAGGGCCTGAAGGCTGGTGTCTGGGCTGCCAGTCCCATGGACCAGAGTCGGAACTTATGGTGCCTTTTTGGGGCACACCCATGGACCAACCGGTGGGAACTTCCTCCCCTCTGAGGGGCCATAATATCCCCAGGCTCAGCCAGAGCAGAGCAGAGGACAGAGAGACAGTGGGATGACCAGCTGCAGAAAGGAGCTACCCTCTTTGCTGAGAGCTGCAGAGATGACAGGATGACCTGCCTGCAGAGAGAAGCTTTCCATTCCAGTGTCTCCTCTCTGCTAGGAGCTGAACACTCGTCAGGATAACCCGGCTGTGAGAAGGAACTACCCACTGTGGGTCCCCTCTGAGCTGTTCTGTCACTCAAAGCTCCTCTTTGCCTTGCTCACTCTCCACTTGTCTGTATACCTCATTCTTCCTGGTCACAAGGCAAGAACTCAGGACCTGCCAAATGGCAAGGCTAAGAGAGCTGTTACACAAACAGGGATGAAATATGCCCCTTGCTCACCATGCTGTGGGCAAAGAGAAGGAGAGGAAAGCTGCAGCCCTTTGGGAGACCAGACCTGGGAGCTCCCCAAGCCAAGGCTGTGTCTCCTTCTCTGGGTCCCTGCAGTTCCTGGCATTTCCAAGCTTCTGGGCATCACTGCATTCCCCGATGCCAGCCAAGGAAGCTGCTTACAGTGTGCCTGCTCCAGCTGCAGCCTCACAGAGAGCCGGCACCCATGCCGGCACCTGGAGCTGCCTGCCATGCAGCAGCAGCCGGCATGTCTGACTGTGTAGTGACCAGACCCCATGCCTTTCCCCACCTGACTTGCAGTCTCCCTTGGAGGCATGGGATCCAGGCTGGTAGCTCAAGCCAAACCCTGTTTGCCAGGCCAAGTCGGCAGAACAAGCCCAGTGGCCATGAGCAAAACCTAGGCAGAAATGACACAAGCCACAGGTTTTCTGCCAGAAGAGTAACATCCCAAAGATCCTGCAACAATTGGTAGTTTCATAGGAATAGCTTTGAATCTAAATTGCTTTGGGTTGTATAGCAATTTTAACAATATTTATTCTTTCTATCCATGAGCATGGAGTGGTTTTCCATTTGTTTGTGTTAGCTCTGATTTCTTTCAGCAGTGTTTTGTAATTCTCATTGTCTCTTTACCTCCCTGGTTAGTTGTAGTCCTAGATATTTTTTTGTGTGTGGCTGTAGCGAATGGGATTTCATCCTTGATTTGGCACTCAGCTTGGATGTTGTTGGAGTATAGAAATGCTACTAAGTTTTGTACATTGATTTTGTATTTTAAAACTTCGCTGAAGTTGTTTATCAGATCTAGGAGTTTTGGGCAGAGTCTGTGGTATAAAATTATGTTATCTACGTACAAAAAATAGTTTGACTTGTCTCTTATTTGGATTTATTTCTCTTACCCAATTGCTCCGGTTAGGACTTCCAGTACTATGTTGAAAAAGAGTGGTGAAAGTGAGAAATCTTATCTTGCTCTGGTTCGCAAGGGGAGTGTTTCCAGCTTTTGCCCATTCAGTATGATTTTGTCTGTGGGTTTTTCATAGATAGCTCTTATTATTTTGTGGTATGTCCTTTCAATGCCTAGTTTGTTGAGGGTTTTTAACATGAAGGGATGTTAAATTTTATCAAAAGCCTTTTCTGTATATATTGAGATGGTCATGTGGTTTTTGTTTTTAGTTTCATTTATGTGATGAATTACATTTATTGATTTGCATATGTTGAACCCAACTTGCATCCCTTGGATAAAGCCTACATGATTGCAGTGTATTAGCTTTTTGATGTGCTGCTGGATTCTGTTTGCTAGTATTTTTTGAATCTGTGTTCATCAAAAATATTGGCCTAAAGTTTTCTTTTCTCATTGTGATTTTGCCAGGTTTTGGTATCAGAATGTTGTTGGCCTCATATAATGAGTTAAGAGACAGTCCCTCCTCATCAATTTTTTGGAATAGCTTTAGTAGGAATGGTGCCAGCTCTTCTATATAAGTTTGGTAGAATTCAGCTGTGAATCTGTCTGGTGCCAGGCTTTTTCTAATTGGTAGGCCTTTTATTACTGATTCAATTTTGGAACTTGTTTTCAGTCTTTTAAGGATTTTATTTCTTCCTGCTTCAATCTTGGAAACTTGTGTTTCCAGGAATTTATCAATTTCTTGTAGGTTTTCTAGTTTGTGTTCATAGAGGTGTTTGGAATAGTCTCTGAGGGTTTTTTGTATTTTTATGGGACTGATGGTAATGTCCCCTTTGTTATTTCTGATTGTGTTTACTTAAATCATCTCTCTTTTTTTCTTTATTAGTCTAGTCAATAATCTTTCAATCTTATTATCCTTTCAAAACACCATCTTATATTTTTGTTGATCTTTTGTATTTTTTTTGGTGTCTCATTTTCATTCAGTTCAGCTCTGATTTTGATTATTTCTTGTCTTCTGCTAGCTTTTGGATTGATCTGCTCTTGCTACTGCTTTCCACTGTGATTATTGCCACTAATTGCAGAACTACTTTGGTCTTCTTTCTCTATAGAAAAATAACCATCTGTTCCCTACAGAGATTGGGGAGAGGAAGACACATGATTGTATACATATCAGCAGTAAGGATCTAGGAGTCTAATAGCCAAAGTTCTTCATAGTTTTACACAATTCTTTCATTTTCTGTTCCATGTATGTCCCACATCTTTTATGGTGTCTTTTACTATGCCTCAAATTTCTGAGCCTTTCGAGAGTATTCTGTGACAAATTGGTTAGCCTCTTGTCGATGTCTTTAATTTTTCAATTTCAAGTGAATATCAAAAACTGCTTAAATAATGTATGATTAAATTTTATGAAAAATGTTGGATTTTATCTAACAAAGGCACTTCTCCATTCACTCTGCTTATCTTTTGTTCATTCATTTGGCCTAGATTTGCTGCACTAGGCTCCACTTAGGTGTTTGAAACACAGCAGTGAAGAAAACCTAAAAGTAGCTATCTACATAAAACTTACTTTTTAATATGGGTTATGGAATATAAATAACATTTAAGCACTGTATTTTAGATAGTAGTACAGTATTTAATTTAATACAAAACATAACATAATATATACTTGTCTTTTAGATAGATATATGTATCTTTTACTTAGATCATTAAAGAAAACATTATAATATAAACTTATCCAACTTTATCCTCCTTTATTCCTGCCACAGCTAACTGCTGTTTAAAGTTAATTAAGTACCTGATTTCCATAGAAATTTATAACACCCAAAAGTACATTGATTGGTTTTGCCTTTTCTGTAATGTTTATATGAATTATAGTGTACATATTCTTCTGTGGTTTGCTTCTTTTTCTCAATATCATTTTTTAGATATAAATATATTAATGTGTGTAACTATGGTATATTATTCTTCATTACATTTTGTATTGCACAATTTTTAAACTCATTTTAGTCTTAATGGATATTAGGGTGGTTTCCACATTTTGGTTTTGTTTTGTGTCTTGCTATTACAAACAATAATCTTATACATATTCATGGGTGGAATCCCTGTTTCTTTGTGCATTTTTGGAATGGGTAGGTTACTTTTCTCTATTGACTTTAAAGTGTCCCTAAAATGATGAGGTAGTAATCTGTTTAATATTTTGCAAATTTTTTTCAAGTCTGTCCCTTAACTTCCAATTATATTTATCATGATTTAAAAAGAAATAAATAGAAATTCTTTATTTTAATGAAGTAGAATTTATCAGTCTTTTCCTTTATTATTTGACTGTGAGCTAAGAAGTATTTTCCTGTCACCAAGATCATAAAGATATTACTGTATATATTTTTGAACAGTATTATAGTTACTCCAGTTAGCATTTAAGTATTCATAAGCTTGGAATTGAATTTCATGCATAGTGCAAGGTTGGCTTCTATTTATTTATTTATGCAACAACATTTATGAAAGCCATTCTTCTATTCAAACCTGCACATGTTCTTTAATATTTAGGACAAACAAGAAACAAAATTATAAGCCAATCTCACTTACAAAAATAGATGAAAAGTCCCAATGCAATGATTGACAAATTGAATTCAGGATGTATAAAAAACGTAATGCATTACGATCAATTTGACTTTATTTCAAGACTACAAATTTGAGTTAAAATTTAAAAATAATGTAATTTAACATGCATGCCAAGGATTTAAAAAAGAACAATCATTTCATCATTCTAATAGATTTTGAAAAACATTTTAAATAAAATGTTGACATGAAGTTTATTCTAGCTTCATACAAATACTTGGAGACTGTTTATGTGTTTTACAATTTGTTTTGACAGAGGTTTGTCCATTTTTTACAACTTTCACTGAAGTACTTTTAGCATTATTGGGGCTTTTAATTGCATATTTGTTTTCTGTTTTAAAATTACTTACATTGTTTTTATTACTTCCTTTATTCTATTCTTTTGGACTTCGTTTAGCATTTCTTCCTTTTAATTTTGAGATGGGACCTTTCCTTATTAGTTGTTGGTTTTAATTTATTTGAATACAAGTATTTAAATTTACAAATTTTGCTGAGTACTGCTTTATATATTTTCCATAATTTTTACTATATTTATCATTTATTTTTATATATAAACATTTTCCTTATGGTGTTTTCTTATAACTATGCTTATTTGGATGAACCTTTTAAAATTTCTAAGCTTATTTAAAGTTTTTATTGATTTCTTTCTTAATTTTCATAAGAGAACATGATACCAACTCTTTGACATGTTTGATATTATCTTTCTAGCTTAAAATGTTTGCCATTTTCATAAATGTTTTATGTATATTAAAAAACATGGACTCTCTCATTGTAGATACAAAATCTTCTGTACTTCATCACATTAAAACTATTGTGGTTTTAACACCTTCTATATTTGTATTAGTATTTTTACTTGCTGTGTCTATCATTTAATAAGAAGTGCTGAAAGTATGAATTTGTACATGTAGTTTATTGACATCTCCTTGCAATTCTAATTTTTATTCTGTGTATTTTTTAATTTGTGCAAATTTATGGGTTACATGAGAAATTTTTTACATATATATAAAATGCACAGTGATCAAGTCAGAATATGTAGGGTGTCCATCACTTGAATACAATAATTTTTTTTAAGTATAGTGATTCTACTTTGCTATCAAACATTGAGTTAGTACTTCTACCTTACTATACATTTGTATTCTTTAATCTACTTCTCTTCACCCTGCCTCCACTTACACCTAATCACCCTTTGTAGTCTCTGTTATCTATTTTTTCATCATTCTCTACTTCCATGTGTTCACACTTTTAGCTCCCACCTGTAAGAGAGATCATGCATTATATGTCTTTTTGTGATTGGTTTATTTCACTTAAGATAATGACCTCAGTTCTATCCATGTTGCTGTAAATGACAAGATTTCATTCTTTCTTTATGGTGAATAGTATTCCATTGTGTGTATATATCCATTATCCATTCATCCATTGATGAACATTTAGGTTGATTCCATGTCTTTGCTTTGTGAATAGTGCCACAATAAACATGCAAGTGCAAGTACCATTTGGATATACAGATTTTTCTTTCCTTTGGATATATACCTGCTATTGAGATTGCTGGATCAAATGGTAAATCTATTTATAGTTTTCTGAGAAATCTCCATATTGTTTTCCACAGTGGCTTTACTGTTTCAGTCTGCTTAGTCCCTAGTTCAGCTAGGTCTGCATTCTTGTCCTATGGCCACAAAGAATTAGGCATGAGGACACCAGAGAGTCAGTAGAGTAGAATTTATTAGGAGGGGTGCCGAAAGCAGGCTGCCAAAAACGGGCTGAATTCTGGAAATTTTATGTGGCAAAAAACAGGAAGTCTTCTGTGAAGACCAGGAAGTCTTTGCTCAAATGGGAGGGGTAACGTTCCCTCTTAGGGGTGTTGTATCTGTGCATGCCTAGGGTTGGCCAGAGTGACTCCATCTTGGTTATTACTCATGAGTGCCTAAATGAAACCCATAGTTGTGGAGTGGCGGGTGGGGGCTATAACCACAATGCTAATGTCATGTTAATGACTTTATAATGAGCTGGGTCAAGTTAAGTATATTTAGCTTAATTTATAGTGTCCATGCCTAAGTTGGGACAGTCCCTTCTGAGCAACATCCTGGCACAAGGGGAAGTTCTTAACCACAATTCTTCCCATTATCTGCAGAGGCAGTATAGGTGCTGTACTGTGGTTGTTCCTGTGAACATTGCCCGTCTCTGTCCTGCTCCCAAGACTCTCCCTCTCTATCTGCCTAACCAGCCCCCAACTGCCTCCTCTCTCATTACTAGTTTACATCCCCACGACAGTGTGTAAGTGATCCCTTTTCTCCAAATCTTCACCAGCATCTGTTATTTAATCTTTTTAATAATGCCATTCTGACTGAGGTAAGATGATATCTCACTGAAATTTTATTTCCATTTCTCTGATGATTAGTGATGTTGTCTTTATATTCCCCACCTTGAGAAATGTCTATTCATGTCCTTTGCCCAATTTTTAATGACATTTTTTTCTATGAGTGCCATGTATATTCTGGAAGCAAGTCCCCTGCTGGGTGAATAGTTGGCAAATATTTTCCACTTCTTTTTGGCCCAAAAAGTAAATCTGTGTCTTTTAAAGATCAAATACAATGCAATGATATTTATCTTGATTAGTTCCGTATTATTTTGCACTTTCTATATAAACTGTATGTCTATATTTAGAAGAATTATCACTGATTATTGGAATGCTTGATGTTTTATTCTCCATCATTTTAAGTGTAAAACATTGTGTTTATATTATGTTGTGTTTCCCTACAGAACATGGATCTGCACAATTAATAAAATCTAAACTTAATCATAAGGGTTGAATTTTTCTCATTAAAAATATGGTGATCTGCATGTTGTCTCTTATAAGTGGGAGCTGAATGATGAGAACACATGGACACATGGGGGGAAACAACACATACTAAGCACCTGTGGAGGGGGTGTGGGAAGGGAGAACACCAAGAAGAATAGCTAATGGATGCTGAGCTTAATACCTAGGTGATGGGATGATCTGTGCAGTAAACCACCACAGCACACGTTTAACTATGCAACAAACCTGCATACCTTGCACACATACCCCTGAACTTTAAAATCTGAAAAAATATATATAAATATGGTGATGTTAGTACATATAGAGCCCAAAGTGCTCAGTATTGCCAATATTCAGTATTATTACATGTTTTTGTTTTATTTAACTGTCTTCAATGACATATTGCAACATTGTTTTATAATGAATATTTATAAATATTTATTTACCTTTATGTCCCTCTTTTATAAATTTTTCTGCTTACCAGTCTGCAATTCATCTATATGTTATTTCTTTGTAAATAATTTGTCTTTCATTTTGGCTACTTCTTTGAAAATATTTTTCTCTTATGTGTCTGAAGTTGTGCTAAGCATGAAAATTTTTAATTTATGCCTCATATATTTAAAACACTGAACATGTATTTCAATGTTCTGGAGGATGCCAAGCCAATGTCTTTATTTATTCTGTCTATTTTCTTTTCTTTTTCATTTTTTGGAACTTCAGTTACATTAGACATTCTCATTCTGTCTTCCACATCTATTTATTTCCCTTTTATTTTTCTCTTTTAAAATTTGCCCTAGACTCTAAGTTTTTTTGTTAACTCTTTTTTTTTTTTTAGTAAATTCCTATTTATCTGCATTTAGTCTGGCAGTTAACACTTCATTGATTGTATTTTTCACACTTACACCTGTTTATTATCTAATCTTCTATTTTCTTCATTTTAATATTTTATTACTTACTATTTTTGAAACAATTATTTCTTTCAACCATCTTTAATTTAAAGTACATATTTTATATTCTATATCCAGTAATTTCATTGCCTGGGCTATCTAAAATTCTTGTTTACTTAAATCTTTTGTTTCTTGATTTTGCTATTTCTTGCTATTTGGTATTTTTTGGTTTGGTTTGCTTTGGTGTTTTACAACTTGTTATTTATTACTTTACTTTATATTGCACACTCATCCTTGGTGAAACTTAATCTGTGGAAATCCTGCTAGCCTGTTTTGAGGGTTTGTCCTATCAGAGACAATTGAATTTTACCTAATGACACTTTAGTTTACAACTTATAATAGTGCATAGAAGCTAGACATGCAACCATGACTCAGTTTCTGGTTAGAATATACAGCAAAGACTGGTAAAGCAACAATTGCATTAAACTATGTTAGTGTCATATTTATGGCCACGGATATCTTCATTATTCCTTCCACCACTCTTCATGCTTTTGGGAGCTTGTATTTTATTGTTTTTGTTGCTGTTGTTTTAACCCTCTGTTTTTTCCACACTGCTACCTGTCCTTCCTTTTAAGAAAATTTATCTTTTTTCCTATCTCTTCGCTAGATGTAATGTATGTAAGAAAGGAGAATAAATATAGAGAAAATTGTTTACAGGAAGAAATAAGGTGAGACCAAATGGCAAGGGTCATGACTACTGGATATTGAAAGAGTTGATAGAGGGAGAGGAGCAGGAGTCTAGTATAATGAGAGCTGGAGAGCAGCAGCACTGAGATGCTATCTAGAGGAAAGGGACTCTTACAAACTATTTCCTCTGAGTTATAAATTGGAACCAATTTATGTTCCTAGATATTCACAAAAGTCTACTTACAATTTTATTGATTTGTTCATCAACTATTGACCAAGTGCATGCTTTACAGTTGGCACCTTTCAGGTTAAGGAGTATACAGTAGTAATGAAAGAGGCAAGGACCTCACTCTCCTTGTGTTTACAAAATATCAAAAAGCAATTTAAAAATAAATAGATAATTAAATAACATTGTAGATTGTATGAGTGTTACATGGAAGTAAAACAGAGTAAAGAAATAATGAGAGAGGGAAGGAGTTGTCTTTCATGTGGGGTAATCTGATAAAGGTTCTGTGGTTAGGTGATTTTTGAGCTGAAACCTTAATAAAATTGCTGGAGTTTGTTTCCATAAATGAGATGTTGAGCAAGGGCTGAGCTACATGGGGATCCAGCTACTGTTGGACCAACAGCTGTTACAGAGGTAAACTTAGGGTCCTTTGGAAGGACAGATCTAGGCCATTAAACCAAGCTTAGTTTAGTGACTCTGTGAAAGGAATCCAACAGTGTGAGCAAAGTCTCAAAGGTGATAAAAGAACTAGGCAGTTAGAGGAGACAGAAAAAGTGTGCACAGAGAAAATAATGTGCTTGGAGGGATTAAGGAACTTGTAGTAGTTGACTGCAAGTAATCTGTCTTTTTCCAGCCTCCAGGATTATAATTAAGGTGAGAGATGAAAGCAGAACAAAATCAAAACTATCTTGTGACAAGCCACATAGTCTGGATATTACTCTGAGGCCAACTGGGAAGTGGGGGCAGAAAATGAGTTGATTTTAAGAAGCAAAGAGTAAGGTGATTTCCAATTTCATCCATGTCCCTACAAAGGACATGAACTCATCATTTTTTATGGCTGCATAGTATTCCATGGTGTATATGTGCCACATTTTCTTAATCCAGTCTATCATTGTTGGACATTTGGGTTGGTTCCAAGTCTTTGCTATCGTGAATAATGCTGCAATAAACACACGTGTGCATGTGTCTTTATAGCAGCATGATTTATAGTCCTTTGGGTATATACCTAGTAATGGGATGGCTGGGTCAAATGGTATTTCTAGTTCTAGATCCCTGAGGAATCGCCACACTGACTTCCACAATGGTTGAACTAGTTTACAGTAAACTATCGCAAGAACAAAAAACCAAACACCGCATATTCTCACTCATAGGTGGGAATTGAACAATGAGATCACGTGGACACAGGAAGGGGAACATCACACTCTGGGGACTATTGTGGGGTTTGGGGAGGGGGGAGGGATAGCATTGGGAGATATACCTAATGCTAGATGATGAGTTAGTGGGTGCAGCACACCAGCATGGCACATGTATACGTATGTAACTAACCTGCACAATGTGCACATGTACCCTAAAACTTAAAGTATAATAAAAAAAAATAAATTAAAAAAAAAGAGTAAGGTGAATGTTATGTGTTAGAAAGACTATTCTACATGTTGGAAAGTAACCAATTTATAGAAAATGGACTGCAAGGAGTACGGTTGGAGTCTGAAAAACTAGTTAAACGGTTGTATTTCGTGAGAAATAAACATTGTTCCTGAATATGATTTACTCTACAAATGTCTACCTTATATACAGAAACTCTTTCATGATCTTGGTGATACATAGATAATATTACAAATATTTTACATTTGTATCAGTAATACTCTTCACTTATTCACTTTAGTTTTTCCCTTGATAGGACACAAGTCATTCACTCAATATACATTTGTTGAATTTTTTTTACTTATTATATGCCAGGCATTTTTTTAGGAACTGGTCACATGGCAGAAATTTAAGGCTAGCATAATACAATAAAATTTTATTACAAGACATGTAATTATATTGCTATTATTTTTATCTTGATTCCTGCTTACCAGTTTCCGTTCATATTTTCATCTCTCCTTAATGGTGTTCGTTATTTCTATGGATATCGCATAAATATATATCATCAGTAAACATAAAGGAATTCTCTCTGGTTTCATGCACACACAGGCTTTCATTGTAATCCACAAAATTCAATGGTCTTATGACGGGACAAATTGCTCCCTTCCAGACTTCACTGTACAGGAATTCAATGCCTTGGTCTCTAATTGCATCAGTGTTTTCCTATGGTTTTTAATGTCACAGAAAACTCTTGGCTACCGGTTATCAGAGTCATCAGTTTCTGATAAAGAAATTCAAAACTCCGTCACACTAAAACACTCAATAAGCTAGGTATTGATGGGACATACCTTAAATAATAAGAGCTATTTATGACAAACCCACAGCCAATAGCATACTGAAGGCAAAAGTTGGAAGCATTCCCTTAGAAAACTGGCAAAAGACAAGGATGCCCTCTCTCACCACTCCTATTCAACATAGTATTGGAAGTTTTGGCCAGGGCAATCAGGCAAGAGAAAGAAATTAAGGTTATTCAAATAGGAAGAGAGGAAGTCATATTGTCTCTGTTTGCAGGTGACATGATTGTATATTTAGAAAACCCCATCAACTCATCACCAAGACTTCTTGAACTGATAAGCACCTTCAGCAAAGTCTCAGGATACAAAAGCAATGTGCAAAAGTCACAAGCATTCCTATACACCAATAATAGACAAACAGAGAGCCAAATCATGAGTGAACTCCCATTCACAATTGCTACGAAGAGAATAAAATACCTAGGAATACAACTTACAAGGGATGTGAAGGACCTCTTCAAGGAGAACTACAAACCCCATCATCTCATCACCAAAACTTCTTGAACTGATAAGAACCTTCAACAAAGTCTCAGGATACAAAATCAATGTCCAAAAATCACAAGCATTCCTACACACCAATAATAGACAAACAGAGAGCCAAATCATGAGTGAACTCCCATTCACAATTGCTACAAAGAGAATAAAATACCTAGGAATACAACTTAAAAGGGATGTGAAGGACCTCTTCAAGGAGAACTACAAACCACTGCTCAAGGAAATAAGAGAGAACACAAACAAATGGAAAAACATTCCATCCTCATGGATAGGAAGAAACAATATTGTAAAAATGGCCATACTGCCCAAAGTAATTTAGATTCAATGCTATTACAATCAGGCTACCATTGTCTTTCTTCACAGAATTAGAAAAAACTACTTTAAATTTCATATGGAACCAAAAAAGAGTTTGTATAGCCAAGACAATAGTAAGCAAAAAGAACAAAGCAGGAGGCATTACTCTACCTGACTTCAAACTATACTACAAGGCTACAGTAACCAAAACAGCATGGTAGTGGTACCAAAACAAATATATAGAATGATGGAACAAAACAGAGGCCTCAGAACTAACACCACAAATCTGCAACCATCTGATATTTGACAAAACTGACAAAAACAAGCAAAGGGGAAAGGATTCCCTTTTCAATACATGGTGTTGGGAAAACTGGCTAGCCATATGCAGAAAACTGAAACTGGACCCCTTCCTTACACCTTATACAAAAATTAACTCAAGATGGCTTAAAGACTTAAATGTAAGACCTAAAACCATAAAAGCTTTAGAAGAAAAACTAGGCAATAGCATTCAGGACACAGGCACGGGCAAAGACTTCATGACTAAAACACCAAAAGCAATAAAAACAAAAGCCAAAATTGACAAATGGGATCTAATTAAACTAAAGAGCTTCTGCACAGAAAAAGAAACTATCATCGGAGTGAACAGGCAAACTACAGAATGGGAGAAGATTTTTGCAATATATCCATCTGACAAAGGGCTAATATTCAGAATCTACAAGGAACTTAAACAAATTTACAAGAAAAAAACAACCTCATCAAAAAGTGGGTGAAATATATGGACACTTTTCAAAAGAAGACATTTATGCGGCCAAGAAACCTGAAAAAAAGCTCATCATCACTTGTCATTAGAGAAGTGCAAATCAAAACCACAGTGAGATACCATCTCATGCCAGTTAGAATGGCAGTCATTAAAAAGTCAGGAAACAACAGAGGATGTGGAGAAATGGGAATGCTTTTACACTGTTGGTGGGAGTGTAAATTAGTTCAACCATTGTCAAAGACAGTGTGGTGATTCCTCAAGGATCTAGAATCAGAAGTACCATTTGACTCAGCAATCCTATTACTGGGTATATACTCAAAGGAATGTAAATCATTCTGCTATAAAGACACATGGACACGTATGTTTATTGCAGCACTGTTAACAATAGTAAAGACTTGGAATCAACCCAAATGCCCACCAATGATAGACTGGATAAAGAAAATGTGGCACATATACACCATGGAATACTATGCAGCCAGAAAAAAAGAATGAGTTCGTGTCCTTTGCAGGGACATGGATAAATCTGGAAACAATCATTCTCAGTATACTAACACAGAAACAGAACACCAAACACCGCATTTCTCACTCATAAGTGGGAGTTGAACAATGAGAACATATGGGTACAGGGATGGGAACATCACACATCAGGGCCTGTCAGGGGTTGGAGAGCAAGGGGAGGGATAGCATTAGGAGAAATACCTAATGTAGGTGACGAGTTGATGGCTGCAGCAAACCATCATGGCACATGTATATCTATGTAACCAACCTGCACATTCTGCACCTGTATCCCAGAACTGAAAGTATATATACAACATATTATATATATATATCATATTTTATATATATATATAATAACATGGATGAATTTCAAAATAATTAAAGTGAAAGAAGCTAAAATAAATAAAAATAAAAAATAAAAAAGCTGTTGTTTCATCAACATATAGTAACTTCTTCCAAAACTTTCACTATGCCTAAACTTTTCCCTTAAAAGCAAATCATCAACATGCTATTTTTCCTTTAGATTGTTTGTTAATAAATTTCATACTCTCACAAAATATTTTAACCACACACCTCACAATTTCATACCTCTAACTATTTCTTAAATTTGTAAAAGCTTTGTCTTTGTCTTCCGAGCCCTTTTAATTCTGTACTTTTGGCGATTACTTTATATTGCGACTCTGAGTCAATCCTAAAACCACCACTCCTCCCTTCTTTTAAATGCAGAGGATACCTTCACAAAGATCTGCTTCACAAAGAGATTACCCTGCACCCCACCTGTTCACTAGCTAGACAGTCAACAGCTGTCACATAAGAAAAGAAGCTCTACATATTTTATTCCTTATACTTTGTATACTTGAAAATAAGTAACATGCATTTTATTTTCCAAGAAGAGCATCCTTAATTTTACACTGCTGTGTTTACCTATGCCAGTTAATCCAAGCTTCCAAGAAAGAAAATTTCTGTATATTATTAAATCTCATTAGATGTCATCAGAAGAAGCTATGACATAGTTAAAAGAGCATAGATTTTAGAATTTTATAGATATAACTTCCTATTTATTTTGTCATTTCCTAAGCATATTACATTTGGCAGCTTAACATCTCTAAATCAAACTTTCTACATCTATAAAGTAAGGATAGTAATATATAATTCAAGTTGTGATTCAACCCTTTTTCAAGAATTTTGTCAATTCTCTTATATTTATGGTCTACATGCAGTTGATACTTTATTTATCAGATTTCAAAACAATCCCCTTGAGTTGAGATTTACAATTTCCCATGATTTTTACATTAATATTTTTCCTTTAATTTAGGAATAAGATCTGTTTCTCTATTATTCGAGGCTTTTATGTGTCGTCTCTGGATTTCTTGATTTTTTTTTTTTTGTTTGAACTGAATTCTGACCATCCCTTAAGGACATTAATAAACATAGAGGTAACCAAGTGATGACTGTGTTTTTCAACATCTGGACTATGAAATGGCCTAGAGATAGAATAAGTTTTCTTCTCGCTTTACATTGTTTCATCCATAATATTTCTCTTTCTTGTCCCTCAAATCTATTCTCTTCATGTCAGTCTAAACCAATCTACTTCTCACTTCCTTTTATTCATTTAAAACATCAAAATTTAGCTCATACTCTCTAAAATTTATTTTCTTGTTTATTTATATATAAATATGCCTTAAGAAATCCTGTGGTGAAAGATAGAAAAAAAAAAGGCCAAGTTCCTTTCTTCTGGCATCACAGAGTTTAAATTTATGGAAACCTTAAGAATCATTTAGCTAACCATGCCCATCCCTCCAGAGTGTTGGAGGAACTCTTTTCTTTTCTTTTCCTTCTCTCTCTCTCTCTTTCTTTCTCTCTCTCCCTCCTTCCCTCCCTCTCTCTCTCTCTCTCTTTTTTTTTTTTTAGACGGAGTCTTGCTCCATCACCAGGCTGGAGTGCAGTGGCGTGATCTCGGCTCACTGCAACCTCCGCTTCCCAGGTTCAAGCAATTCTCCTGCCTCAGCCTCCCGAGTAGCTGGGATTACAGGCGCGTGCCACCACGCCCAGCTAATTTTTCTATTTTTAGTAGAGACGGGGTTTCACCATGTTGGTCAGGCTGGTCTCGATCTCGTGACCTCGTGATCCACCCGCCTTGGCCTCCCAAAGTGCTGAGATTACAGGCATGAGCCACCGTGCCCGGCCCTCTCTTTTTTTCTTTCCTTCTTTCTTTCCTTCTTTCTTTCCTTCCTTCCTTCCTTCCTTCCTTCCTTCCTTCCTTTCTTTCTTTTTCTCTTTCTTTCTTTCTCTCTCTTTCTTTCTCTTCCCCTTCCTTTTTCTTTTCTTTTCTTCTTTTTTTTTTGAGACAGGGACTTGCCCTGTTGCCCAAGCTGGAGTTCAGTGGTGCAATTATAGCTTACTGCACACTTGGCCTCTGGAGCCCAAGTGATCCTCCCACCTCAGCTATCTGAGTAGCTGGGACTATGGGCATGCACTGCAGTGCCTGGCTTTTTCATTTTTTTGTAGAGACAGGGGCTCACTATGTTGTCCAGGCTTGTCTTGAACTCCTGGGCTGAAGGAATCCTCCTGCCTTGGCCTCTGAAAGTGCTGGGATTACAGGTGTGAGACACTGCACCTGGCCTGGGACCATATTTCTGAATCTTCATGTTTGAATATAACAAAACTTCCATTTCAGTTTCTTAAAGGGAAAATTAGAAACATTAGGAAGATAACTTCTACCCTTCTCTCATCCACCTTCACTTGGTGCCTTATCTGCTTGGTGAGATTGAGAGAAGTGCTGAGCACTCAGCAGCGTGGTTTCCTATCTCTGGAAGCAGTATGCTCTGAAGCCGCAGGCCTCTGTCACTGATGCAGTGAAGCGCTTCCTGACAAGGGTGCTGTCTCTGCAGGGAGATGGGTTTATGGGTGTGTGAACTGAACTCATGGCCACAGGTACTAGGAGATGGACTGGGGCTATAGATCCAAGCTGTCTTCTCCAATCTGCTGTTGTCTGCAATACAGCTTCCATTTTTATCTCTTTCCTCCTGACTTTGTGTCTCATTCTTGACTGGGCTCATTCCACTTCGATTTCAGATGGCCGTACAATGCCCAGCCCCTGGAATATGCTGCTCCTTCTATGAAGCTCAGGAAGTGTGGATGTATTGCCCTAGAATCTCCCCATTAGAGTGCCCACTAAATATTTTGTGAAACATTCTTCAGAGAAGGGACTTGACAAGGTCTTCTGGAGTCCTGAATGTACTATATACATTTTTTTCTTTATTTCTTCTAAAAAAAAGTTGGAGGATACAAGTGCAGAATATGCAGGTTTGTTACATAGGCATACATGTGCCATGGTGTTTTGCTGTACCTTATGACCCATCCTCTAAGTTCCCTCCCCTGATTCCCCACCCCACAACAGGCCCTGGTGTGTGTTGTTCTCCTCTCTGTGTCCATGTGTTCTCAATGTTCAATTCTCAATTATGAGTGAGAACATACGGTGTTTGGTGTTCTGTTCTTGTGTAAGTTTGCTAAGTATGATGGGTTCCAGCTTCAGCCATATCCCTGCAAAGGACATAATCTCATTCCTTTTATAGCTGCATAATATTCTATGGTGTATATGTACCACATTTTCTTTATCCAGTCTATCATGGATGGGCATTTTGGTTGTTTCCAAGTCTTTGCTATTGTGAATAGTGCTACAATAAACATACATGTGCATGTGTCTTTATAGTAGAATGATTTATATTCCTTTGGGTATACACCCAGTAATGGGATTGCTGGGTCAAATGGTATTTCTGGTTGTAGATCCTTGAGGAATCACCACAATATCTTCCACAATGGTTGAACTAATTTCCACTCCCACCAACAGTGTAAAAGCATTCCTATTTCTCCACATCCTCTCCAGCATCTGTTGTTTCCTGACTTTTTAATGATCACCATTCTAACTGGCATGAGATGGTATTGCATTGTGCTTTGGATTTGCATTTCTCTGGTGATCAGTGATGTTGAGCTTTTTTTCATACGTTTGTTGGCTGCATGTATTCTTTTGAGACATGCCTGTTCATATACTTTGACCACTTTTTGATGGGGTTGTTTGTCTTTTTCTTGTAAATATGTTTATGTTCCTTGTAAATTCTGGATATTAGACCTTTGTCACATGGGTAGATTGCAAAACTCTTCTCCCATTCTGTAGGTTGCCTGTCCACCCTGATGATAGTTTCTTTTGCTGTGCAGAAGCTCTTTAGTTTAATTAGATCCCATTTGTAAATTTTGGCTTTTGTTGCCATTGCTTTGGGCTTTTTGTCATGAAGACTTTGCCCATGCTTATGTCCTGAATGGTATTGCTTAGGTTTTCTTCTAGGGTTGTTATGGTTTTGGGTTTTACATTTAAGTCTTTAATCCGTCTTGAGTTAATGTTTGTATAAGGTGTAAGGAAGGGGTACAGTTTCAGTTTTCTGCATATGGCTAACCAGTTTTCCCAGCACCATTTATTAAATAAGGAATCCTTTCCCCATTGCTTGTTTCTGTCAGGTTTGTTGAAGATCAGGTGGTTGTAGATATGAGGTATTATTTCTGAGGTCTCTGTTCTTCTCCATTCGTCCGTAAGTCTGTTTTGATACCAGTACCATGCTGTTTTGGTTACTGTAACCCTGTAGTATAGTTTGAAGTCAGGTAGCATGATGCTTCCAGCTTTGTTGTTTTTGCTGAGGCTTGTCTTGGGTCTTGTCTGATTCCATATGAAATTTAAAGAAGTATTTTCTAACTCTGTGAAGAATGTCAATGGTAGTTTGATGTGAATAGCATTGAATCTATAAATTAATTTGGGCAGTATGGCCATTTGCATTATATTGATTCTTCCTATCCATGAGGATGGAATGTTTTTCCATTTGTTTGTGTCCTCTCTTATTTCCTTGAGCAGTGGTTTGTAGTTCTCCTTGAAGAGGTCCTTCACATCCCTTGTTAGCTGTATTCCTAGGTATTTTATTCTCTTTGAAGTGATTATGAGTGGGAATTCATTCATGATTTGGCTCTCTGCTTGCCTATTGTTGGTATAAAGGAATGCTTGTGATTTTTGCACATTGATTTTGTATCCTGAGACTTTGTTGAAGGTGCTTATCAGTTCAAGACTTTGTTGAAGGTGCTCATCAGTTTTTGGGATGAGATGATAGGGTTTTCTAAATATAAAATCATGTTGTCTGCAAACAGATGCAACTTGGCTTCCTTTCTTCCTGTTTGAATACCATTTTTTGGTTTCTCTTGCCTGATTGCCCTGTCCAGAACTTCTAATACCATGTTGAATAGGAGTGGTCAGAGAGGGCATCCTTGTCTTGTACTGGTTTTCAGAGGGAAAGCCTCCAGATTTTGCCCATTCAATATGCTATTGGCTGTGGGTTTGTCATAAATAGCTCTTATTATTTTGAGATATGTTCCATCAATAGCTGCTTATTGAGAGTTTTTAACATGAAGGGATGTTGAATTTTATCAAAGGCCCTTTTCTGCATCTATGGAGATAATCATGCGGTTTTTGACTTTGGTTCTGTTTATGTGATGGATTACGTTTATTGATTTGCATATGTTGAACCAGCCTTGCATCCCAGGGATGAAGCCGAGTAGACCTTGGTGGATAAATTTTTTTATGTGCTGCTGGATATGGTTCTTCAGTATTTTATTGAGGATTTTCACATTGATGTTCATCAAGGATATTGGCCTGAAGTTTTCTTCTTTTGTGTCTCTTCCCAGTTTGGGTATCAGGATGATGCTGGCTTCGTAAAATAAGCTAGGGAGGAGTTCCTACTTTTCAATTGTTTGGAATAGTTTAAGAAGGAATGGTACCAGCTTCTCTTTGTATTTCTGGTGGAATTCAGCTGTGAATCCATTTGGTCCTAGGTGTTTTTGCTTGGTAGGCTATTAGGTAATGCCTCAATTTCAGAGCTTGTTACTGTTCTATTCAGGGATTCGACCTCTTCCTGGTTTAGTCTTGGTAGGGTGTATGCATCCAGGATTTTATCTGTTTCTTCTAGATTTTCTAGTTTATTTGTGTAGAGGTTTTGATAGTATTCTCTTATGGTAGTCTGTATTTCTGTGGGGTCAGTAGTGATATCCTCTTTATCATTTTTTATTGTATCTATTGATTCTTCTCTCTCTTCCTCTTTATTAGTCTAGCTAGTGGTCTATCTATTTTGTTAATTTTTTCAAAAACACAGCTCCTGTATTCATTGACTTTTTGGAGGGTTTTTTCATGTCTCTATCTCCTTAAATTATCTCCTGATTTTTGTTATTTCTTGTTTTCTGCTAGCTTTTGGATTAGTTTTCTGTTGCCTCTCTAGCTCTTTTAATTGTGATATTAAGTGTTGATTTGAGATCTTTCTAGCTTTCTGATGTGGGCATTTAGTACTATAAATTTCCCTCTTAACACTGCTTTAGCTGTGTCCCAGAGATTCTGGTACATTGTCTTTTTGTTCTCATTGGCTTCAAAGAACTTCTTAATTTCTGCCTTAATTTCCTTATTTGCCCAGGAGTCATTCAGAAGCAGTTTGTTTAATTTCCATGAAATTGTGTGGTTTTGAGTGAGTTTGTTAATCCTGAGTTCTAATTTGATTCCACTGTGATCTGAGAGACTGTTTGTTATTATTTCAGTTCTTTTGCATTTACTGAGGAGTGTTTTCCAATTATGTGGTCAATTTTAGAATAAGCACCATGTGTTACTGAGAAGAATGTATATTCTGTTGATTTGGGGTGGAGAGTTTTGTTGATGTCTACTAGGTCCACTTGATGCAGAACTGAGTTCAAGTCCTGAATATCCTTGTTAATTTTCTGTCTCATTGCTCTGTCTTATACTGACAGTGCGGTGTTAAATTCTCCTACTATTATTGTGTGGGAGTCTAAGTCTCTTTGTAGGTCTCTAAGAGCATGTTCTATGAATCTGAGTGCTTGTGTTTTGGGTGAATATATATTTAGAATAGTTAGCTCTTCTCATTGAATTGTTCCCTTTACCGTTATGAATGCCCTCCTTTGTCTTTTTTGATCTGTGTTGGTTTAAAGTCTGTTTTGTCAGAGACTAGGACTGCAACCCCTGCTTTTTTTTTTGCTTTCCATTTGCTTGGTAAGTTTTCCTCCATCCCTTTATTTTGAGTCTGTGTGTGTCTTTGCACATAAGATGGGTCTCCTGAAAATAGTACACTGATGGATCTTGACTCTTTATCCAATTTGCCAGTCTGTGTCTTTTAATTGGGGAATTTAGCTCATTTACATTTAAGGTTAGTATTGTTATGTGTGAATTTGATCTTGTCATCATGATGTTATTTAGTTATTCTTCACATTAGTTGATGCAGTTTCTTAACAGTCTCATTGGTCTTTCTATTTTGGTGTGTTTTTTGCAGTGGCTGGTACTGATTTTTCCTTCCCATATTTAGTGTTTCTTTCAGGAGCTCTTGCAGGGCAGGTCTGGTGATTACAAAATCCCTCAGCATTGGCTTGTCTGGAAAGGATTTTATTTCTCCTTTGCTTTGAAGCTTAGTTTGGCTGGATGTGAAATTCTGGCTTGAAAATTGTTTTCTTAGAATACTGAATATTGGCCCCCAATCTGTTCTCGCTTGTAGATTTTCTGCTGAGAGGTCCGTTGTTAGTCTGATGGGCTTCCCTTTGTAGGTGACCTGGCATTTCTCTTTTGCTGCCCTTAACAATTTTTCCTTCATTTTGATCTTGGAGAATCTGATTATTATGTGTCTTGGGGTTGATCTTCTCGTGGAGTATCTTAATGGTGTTCTCTGTATTTCCTGAATTTGCATGTTTGCCTGTCTTGCTAGTTTGAGTAAGTTCTTCTGGATAATATTGTGAAGTGTTTTTTCCAGCTTGTTTCAGTTCTCCCCATCTCCTTCTGGTGCTCCTATCAATCATAGATTTTGTCTTTTTATGAAGTCCCATATTTCTTGGAGGCTTTGTTCATTCTTTTTCATTATATTTTCTCTATTCTTGTCTGCATGTCTTATTTCAATAAGGTGGTCTTCAAACTCTGATATCCTTTCTTCCCCTTGGTCAAATCAGCTGTTGATACTTGTGTATGCTTCACGAAGTTCTCGTACTGTGTTTTTCAGCTCCATCAGGTCATTTTTACTCCTCTCTAAACTGGTTATTCTAGTTAGCAATTCCTCTAACCTTTTATCAAGGTTCTTAGCTTCTTTGCATTCAGTTAGAGCATGCTACTTTAACTCAGTGTAGTTTATTACCGATCTTCTGAAGCCTACTTTTGTCAATTCGTCCATCTGATCCTCCATCCAGTTCTGCGCCCTTGATGGAGAAACGTTGCAGTCATTTGGAGGAGAAGAGGCACTTTGGCCTTTTAGATTTTTAGCATTTTCTCGTTGATTCTTTCTACCCTTCGTGAGTTTGTCTAGTTTCGGTCTTTGAGGCTGCTGAGCCTCGGATAGGGTTTTTGTGGGGGTGTTTTTTGTTGTTGATGGTGTCATTGTCACTTTCTGCTTGTGTGTTTTTCTTTCAATAGTCAGGTCTCTCTTCTGTAGGGCTGCTGTAGTTTGCTGGGGGTTCACTTCAGGCCCTATTTATCTGATTGCTTCTCATGCCTGGAGATGTCACTCAAGGGGGCTGGAGAGCAGCAAAGATGGGTGCCTACTCCTTCTTCTAAGACCTCTGACCTTGAGGGACACCAATCTGATGCCAGTAGGATCGCTCCTGTATAGGGTGTCCGACAACCCCTGTTGGAGGTTCCACCCAGTTGGGTGGCATGGGGAGCAGGACCAGAAGCACTTTGTCCCTTGATGGAGAGGATGTGTTTATCTGGGGGGAACCCACTCATCTAGGCTCCCTGGATTCCTCAGAACAACCAGGTGGAAAGGCTAAGTCGGCTGTCTGCAGAGACTGCAACCACCCCTTCCCCTAGGGGCTTTGGGTCAGGGAGGTTTGAATTCTGTCCCTAAGCCTCTGGCTGGAGTTATTGGAGATCCTGCAGGGAAGCCCTGCCCTGCAGGGCAGGATAGGTCAGGTTGGGCCTGAAGAAGCACTCTGGCCACAGATTGCCACAGCTGGTGTGTTGGGCTGTGGGGACATGTCTTGGGACCAAGCCATCCAGCCTCTCTGGCTCCAGCAGGGGAAAAGTGCACTGGAGCTATATAAATGGGTGCCACCCTTCCCCCGCTCAGGGAGCTTAGCGTGTTAGGCATTTGTGAGTCCCAGTGCTGGCTGCTGTCCCTCCCCAAGAGAGCTCAAGTGGCTTAGAGAGCTGGCAGCTGCAGCTGGTGCTGGTCACCCCTCCCTCTGGGAGTTTGGTAGGCTTAAGCAGATTCCAGCTGAGAGGCTGTAAGAATCTGCGTATTCTGGGTTTGGGACACCAGGCCCTGGTGGCATGGGTTTGCAAATGGGATCTTCTGATCCGCGGCACGCACAGTTCTGCAGAAAAAGCAGTTTCCCTGGCTGGGTAGCACGCTCACTCACTGCCTCCCTTGGCTGGGAGGTGGGGGTTCCCTTTCCCCGTGTTGCTCTTAGGTAGGCCACTGCACCACACTGTTCTTCCTTTTCTCTGTGGGTCACGCTAGCCTTCTAGTCAATTTTGATGGGAGAACTTGGACACCTTGGTTGCCGGTGAAGGATTCACATGCTTATTATGTTTTTTTCCGATGGGAGCCTCTGAACACTAGTGCTTCTAGTCTGCCATCTTGGCCTAGCTCATACTCTTCACTACTATTTCTGTCATTATTCCTGGAATAATAGTTTAATTATAAAAATGGTCTAAACAATCTGTTTATTTGTATTTTCATGAGCTTCGTAAGATGGCTTTGCAGAGCCTCCTGAGGAGCTGTAGAGTCTGTTTCACTACACCTTGAACTTGGGCTAAACTTGTAACTTACTTTGGTTAATAGAATATGATGGAAGTGACACTGTGCTAATTCTGAGATTAGTTCTCAAAGGGCCTTGCACATTCCCACTATCGCTTGGAACCCTTTAACGGAACATGCCTGGAGTCTATTGCTGAAAGAGAAAAGACCATGGAGCAGAGCCAAATAAGTAAGCTCTGTGGTCTCACCTGAGGCCCCAAACTTATTTTTCTTTTTTTTTTTAAACATTTTTTAAAGACCCTGAACTTCTGAGAGCACCCAGCCAAGAGCATCAAAGCCAATCTGCAACTGAGTCACAGCTGACCCCGAGGTATGATTAAGCTAAGCTGACACCATTTCAGATCAGCATAATGACCCACATCTGATGAGCAAAAAGAAATGTTTATTAATGTACAAAACTGAGATTTGGTGACTTTTATTGAGGGTTATTGTGGCAATAAATAAACGATATGAAAATTAGTTCTAAGAAAGTAAAAATTTCAAAAAGTTACGGAATGCAAATATAATAAGAGTCTGGTCATTCTTTTGCACCACCATTTCTCTTAAATCTATGAAAGCATTGGTAAGAGTCTAAAAACATACAAGCCAATCTGGCCAACTCCATTTCAGAATTCTTCATTCATTACCCTAATTCTAGACATACACCTCAGGAAATGAAAAATCTGAAATTAAAGTTTGCTCTGGTATGAAAAATGAGAAGTGAGGGGACACTACATGATTCCTTTTAAGATGCTTAATGTCCCAGGATGTGTGTTCTTGGGACACTATATAGACTTCTCTCTGAAACATATCCCTAGACCTGATGAGCTGTACTCACTATGCATGTCCACTCTCCTTAGCCAGTGTTACACACCAGGAATGAAAGCATCAGGTGATCTCCACAGACGGCTACAGAAAGGATTTAAACTGAATCAGAGAAGTAACATTTTCCATTTTTAGAATTGTTTGTGATTATTTTAGCAGTGACTATACTATATTTCAATCCTCAAATCCTGAATATTCTTTGTAAGGTTTGTCATCTGGGCAATCAAGGTGACACTCCTGAAACATATTCTCACAAAATTGAAAATATGTTAAAAATCTATCTAAAATACATTGTTCCTTTGGCTTATGGCAAAGAACATAAGTTAGAAACACAATTTGGCCAGTTTTGAATGTAACGGTTGTCTTACCTGACATAAAGGACTTGAAATGTCTTTGGCATCAAAGCACAAACATGACACAAATAAAGATGAATGATACGTATGAAGTAGGCAGGTGTCATTGTGACAGTCACTGTGCTAACTTGAGCCTGTATGCATATAACCTTGAGATGTCTCTCAGTCGGAGAGTAACGTAGGCATAACTATGCCTCCTCTTTTCGTTACAGAATTAAGAAATGAATTAATTGTATCCATTTAAAGACAGTCTGATAATGCCATGAGCTTTATGACTGAACTAAGTTAAAACCCCGACTTTTCTGTTATTTGGTCTTATGATCTTAGGGCAAGTTACTGAATAACTCAGAAAGTTTGTTTGTTTGCTTGCTTTTTGTTTAATGATAATAATAATGCTTACCTCAGTGTTTGGGGTATGCTACTATTTTTGCTTGAGTATCTAATTGCGAATTGCATCTCAGTGCCTTGGAAGAGTTAGTGCTCAGTTCCTTTTCTCTATTTTAAATATCTTAAATCCTTTCTGTGTTATTATAGACACATTTTTATTTTTTCATATTGAAATCATTTTTCACCAAGATCTATGTCAATTCCTATCTATCCTATGAAACTTGCTCAGTTGTGCTAGATTGGTTTCAATTTTGATTCTAACATACATGCTGTCCAATTAAACTTTCAGCCATTGAAATTATAAATACAGTTCTCATTTTGACAAAATTCCTTTATTGTGCCCCAAATATTTTATTTTCAACAGATCTTTTTTCTTAAACTATTTGCACAAATTTGAGGAATAAGAACTGTCCCTTAGTTCTATTACAAATTGCCTACCACAGTGTTAGCAATAGAACAGAATATAACACATTTTTCTTATTAGAGTTAGTGAATGGAGTCTCAGAATATTCTTAAAAAACTGGGAGTCTTCTGCTGTTGTGAATTGAATCTCATTATTCTCAAATGTGAAATACGAGCACCCCTTTTGAGTCTCTGAGAAACCTTTCACGATTAAGAGGTAAAGTGTGCTTTTATAGAGTTACACTTTCTGTTCAGTCATCCATGCATTCTTTTATTCTTGTTTTGTTTTTAATTGAGGTGAAATTCATCTGACATAAAATTTACCATTTTAATCATTTTATAGAGTTTATTTAGCAGTTTTGTAGATTTACTATATTTAGCAACCATCGCCATTAATTCCAGAATATTTTCATCACTCCAACAAGAAACCCATAACCATTAACAGTCACTCTGCCATCTCCCTATCCCCACCCCATGGCAATTCGGTAATCTGCTTTCTCTCTGTGTGTATTTTCCCATTCTTGAAATTTAATATAAATGTAATTATACCATATGTGGCTGTTTGTATATGACATTTTAAAAATAGCATGTTTTGACAGTTCATCCATGTTGTAGCATGTATCAGTACTTAAATTTTTTAAATTTGTATTTATGGCTGAATAATATTCTGTTATATGGCGATGTCACATTCTGTCTACCTATTTCTCTATGAATGGACATTTGGGTTGTTTCCACTTTTTAGCTATTGTGAATAATTTTGCTATGGACATTTGTGTGCAGATTTTTTTGTTTAGACACCTGTTATCCACTCTCTTGAATACATACCTAGAAGTGGACTTGCTGAATTATATGGTAATTTTATGTCTAAATTCCTGATGCACTATTAAAGTGCTTTCCAGGGGAGTTAGACTGTTTTACATTCTGACCAGCAGTGTATGCAGATTCCAACTTCTTCACATCCTCACCAACACTTATTGATATCTGACTTTTGATTCTAACCATCCTAGTGGATGTGAAGTGATATTTAATTGAAGTATTGATTTGTACTTCCCTAATGACTAATAATGTTAAGCATCTTTCCATGTGCTTAAAGGACATTTATATATCTTCTTTGGTGAAATGTCTATTTAAGTCCTTTGTCCATTTCTAAATTGGGTTATTTGTATTTTTGTTGATCAGTTTTAAGTGTTATTTGTATATTTTGAATACTAAACACTTAGCACACACACACACACAAACACACACACACAATTTATTTCCAAACTCTCAATTCTATTCCACTAACCTATATGACTATATGACCTTATGCCAGCATCACACTTATTTTGTTACTGTAGCTTTGTAGCAAGTTTTGAAATTGGGAAATGTAAGTTCTCCAACTTTGATCCATGAAAGTTTTAGTTTTGATGAAGTCTAATTTAACAATTTTTTTTCTTTCTTGCTGTGCTTTAGTCTCATATCTAAGAATCCTCGGCCAAGCTCAAAATTATGACAATTTACCCCAATGTTTTCTTCTAATACTTTTGTAGTTTTTGTTCTGAAATTTTTGTCTGATCTATTTTGGGACTTTTTTGTGCGTATGATGTGTGATAAGTACCAAAATTTATTCTTTCGCATGTAGTTATCCAGTTGTTCCAGTACCAATTTTAAAATGACTATTCTTTTTCCATTGGATTATCTTGGTATTGTTGACAAAAATCAACTGACCTAGATTTATGAATTTATTTCCAGACTCTCAATTCTATTTCATTGATCTATATGACTATCCTTATGCCAACATCACACTTATTAGGTTACTGTAATTTTGTAGTAAGTTTGGAAATTGGAGAGCTTGAGTTCCCCAACTTTGTTCTTTTTTTCAAAATATTTGTTATTTGCTTGCAATTCCATATGTAATTCATGATTGTCTCTCAATTCTGCGTAAATGGCAGTTGGCATTTTGATAGGCTTTTCATGAAATCTGCAGATCATTTTGGGAAGTATTATCATCTTAACACGATTACAATTCTTAATTCATGAACACAGGTCTTTCTATTTACATTTATTGAGGTCTTCTTTAATTTCTTTCAAAAAGTTTTGTAGTTTTCAGTATTAATATCTTGCACTTCCTGAATTATATATAATTCTGAGTATTTTATTCTTTTTGATGCCATTGCAAGTCATTCTTACATTTTACTAATATTTACTATATATATAATTGTACTATTCTCTATCTTTGACCTAATCTTTTGCTTAAGGTATTTCTAGATTCCATGCATTTGAATATACCATGATGTGTGTGTGTGTATGACATATGATGGGAGCATTTTTTTCCATTCTTTATAGAAATAACTGGTCCTAGATGTGGAATGAATTAAACAGTTTGGAGATCTGAGTTTCAGAAAACATGAACTAATAGCAGATTAAGCACAAACAGAGACATTTACTTTGTAAACTTTATATAGATGCTATGTATATATATTATATATGTGCATGCATATATATATATATATATATATATATATATATAGTTTAACAGTCAAAACTGTACAGCTCATTGTATTAACATGAAGTCTAAATACATGTACATAATTACCAGAATCAAGAAATTGAACATTACTAGTTCTCCAGAAGCCTCTTCATTTTTCCTGCCAATTATTATCACCCTTGCAAATGTTACCACTTTTGATTGCTACCACTGGCGATTAGTTTTGCCTATGTTTAAATCTTATATAAATGGAGTCACACAGTATTTACTTTTCTATGCCTGCCTTCTTTATACATTATGTATATGATATCCATTCAATTTGTTGAATATAGCAATTGTTTGTTCTTTTTTATTGCCCCATATCCATGGTCTTCAATGTGTAGTCTGAGGAAGAATAGCATTAACATCACACAATAATTTATTAGAAACATAGGCTCTTGTTCCCATTCAGAACCCACTGAAACAGAATTTTCATTTTTTAAATGATAAGGTATCATATATTTGCATTAATGTTTTAAAAACACTGCTTTAGGCCAGGCGCGGTGGCTCACACCTGTAATGCCAGCCCTTTGGGAGGCTGAGGCGGGCAGATTAAGTGAGGTCAGGAGTTTGAGACCAGCCTGAACAACATGGTGAAACCCTGTCTGTACTAGAAATACAAAAATTAGCCAGGCATGGTGGCACATGCCTGTAGTCCCAGCTACTTGGGAGGCTGAGGCAGGAGAATCACTTGAACCTGGGAGGAGGAGGTTGCAGCGAGCTGAGATTGTGCCATGGCACTCCAGCCTGGGCAACAAGAGTGAAACTCAGTCTCAAAACAAACAAACAAACAAACAAACACACTGCTTTAAAGTAGTCCATTATAGAAATATATCATGATTTACCCATCCATTCTATTGTTTATGGACATTAGGGTTGTCTCTACTTCTTAATTATTATGTGTAATGCTGCTGTAATCAATCTTGCGCATGTGATTTCTTATGCAAATATCATTAGATCTGCCAGATATGTACATAGGATCGGAACTTCTGTCCAAGGGTATGCTTATATTTGGTTATGTAAATTATAACCAAAGTGTTTTAATCAAGGTATACTACCACTGATAGTGTTTGAGAATCCGTATTTTCAATACTTTTAAACCTAGCAATTTTTATGAGTGATTTATAGTAAATTATTGTGGATTTAATTTGTAAATTTCTGTTGACTAATAGATTGAATGCACTTTCATCCGCATGACATTATTTAAACTACCTCCAATTTTCTTGCCCATTTTTCTACTGGATTGTCAACCTTTTTCATATTTATTTGCAGGAAATTTTATATACTTGTATTTTGGACTAAGGTGTCTTAGATTTGTTTTGGAAATCATTTTTCTAATTCTATGGATTGCTTTTTAATTCTCTAGTGTTTTATTTTTCTCATGACTATATGATTTTAACTCTAATACAGTGCATTGTGTCATTTAGATTTTGTGTTTTTTAATATTTAAATATTCCTTGACTACCCCAAGCTCATAAATATACTCTCTTATGTTATCTACCAGAATTTCTTATTTATTTATTTATTTATTTATTTATTTATTTATTTATTTATGTTTATCTCAATAGGTTTTGGAGAAACTGGTGGTGTTTTGTTACATGAATAAGTTCTTTAGTGGTGATTTATGAGATTTTGGCACATCCAACACCCAAGCAGTGTACCCTCAACCCAATGTGTAGTCTTTTATCCTTCACCATCTTTTCCCCCAAGTCCCCAACATCCAATGTATCATTCTTATGCCATTGGGTCCTCATAGTTTAGATCCCACATATGAGTCAGAACATGCAATGTTTAGTTTTTCATTCCTGAATTGTTTCATTTAAAATAGTGGTCTCCAATTCCATCCAGGTTATGTAAATGCCATAATTTCATTCTTTTTTATGGCTGAGTAGAATTCCATGGTATATATTATATGTGTATATATATATATATCTATCTATGTATATATTATATGTGTGTATATATATATATATACACACACACACACATATCATATTTTACTTATCCACTCATTGATTGATGGACATTAGGCTTGTTTCATATTTTTTCTATTGCGAATTGTGCTGCTATAAACATGGGTGTGCAAGCATCTTTTTTGTATAATGGCTTCTTTTCCTCTGGGTAGATACCCAGGAGTGAGACTGCTGGTTCAAATGGTAGATCTACTTTTAGTTCTTTGAGGAATCTCCACATTGTTTTCTATAATGGTTGTTCTAGTTAACATTCTTACCAACAGTGTAAAAGTTTTCCATTTTCACTACATCTACACCACAATCTATTGTTTTTTGATATTTTGATTATGGCCATTCTTGCAGGAGTGAGGTGTTATCACATTGTGGATTTTATTTGCATTTCCCTGGTAATTAGTGATGTTGAGAATCTTTCCATATGTTTGTTGGCCATTTATGTATCTTCTTTGAGAATTGTCAATTCATGTCATTAGTCAACTTTTTGATGGAATTGGGTTTTTTTCTTGCTGATTTGTTTGAGTTCTTTGTAGATTCTGGATATTAGTCCTTTGTTGGTTGTGTAGATTGTGACAATTTTCTCCCAGTCTGTGGGTTTTCTGTTAACTCTGCTGATTATTTCTTTTGCTGTGCAGAATCTTTTTATTTTAATTAAATCCCATCTATTTATCTTTGTTTATGCCGCCTTTGCTTTTGGATTCTTGGTCATGAAGTCTTTGCCTAAGCCAAAGACTTAGAAGTGTTTTTCCAATATTATCATCTAGAATTTTTGTGATTTCACATCTTAGATTTAAGTCTTTGATCCATCTTGAGTTGATTTTTGTACAAGGTGAGAGATGGGGTTCCAGTTTCATTCTCAAATGTGGTTTGTCAATTATCCGAGCACCATTTGTTGAATAGGGTGTCCTTTCCCCACTTTATGTTTTTGTTTGCTTTGTCAAAGATCAGTTGGCTATAAGTATTTGGCTTTATTTCTGGGTTCTCTATTCTGTTCCATTGGTCTACATGCCATTTTTATACCATTACCAAGCTGTTTTGGTGACTATGACCTTTTAGTATAGTTTGAAGTCAGGTAAGGGTGATGCCCTAGATTTTTTCCTTTTCCTTAGTCTTGTTTTGGCTATGCAGGCTCTTTTTTGGTTCCATATGAATTTTAGAGTTCTTTTTCCTAGTTTTGTGAGGAATGATGACAGTATTTTGATTGGAATTGCATTGGATTTGTAGATTGGTTTTGGCAATATGGTCATTTTCACAATATTGATTCTACCCATCCATGAGCATATGACGTGTTTCCATTTGTTTGTGTCATCTATAATTTCTTCCAGCAAGTTTTGTAGTTTTCTTTGTAGAGGTCTTTCACATCCTTGATTAGGTATATTCCTAAGTATTTTGTTTTATTTTTTGCAGCTATTATAAAAGGGGTTGAGTTCTTGATTTGATTCTCAGCTTGGTCACTGTTGGTGTGTAGCAGAGCTACTGATTTTTGTACATTTTGTACTTTTTTTATACTGAAACTTTGCCGAATTCATTTACCCTTTCTAAGAGCTTTTTGGATTAGTCTTTAGAGTTTTCTAGGTATACAATCATATCATCAACAAATAGCAACATTTGACTTCCTCATTACCAATTTGGATGCCCAAGTCTATTTCTTGTAGGATATAATTAAATCCATTGCTTCTTTGCTGACTTTCTGTCTTGATGACCTGTCTAGCACTGTCAGTGGAGTATTAAAGTCCCCCACTATTACTGTGTTGCTATTTATCTCATTTCTTAGTTCTAGTAGTAATTGTCTTATAAATTTTGGAGCTCCAGTGTTAAGCGCATGTATATTTAGAATTATGATATTTTCCTGTTCTAAATGCTCCACTTAAAAGATACAGAAAGGCAGAATAGATAAGAGTTCACCAACCAAGTGTCTGCTGTTTTCAGGAGACTCACCTAACACATAAGGACTCACATAAGGCTAAGGGGTGGAAAAAGATATTCTATGCAAATGAACATCAAAATCTAGCAGAAGTAGCTAATCTTATATCAGACAAAACAGATTTTAAAGCAACAGCAGTTTAAAAAGTCAAAGAGGGACATTATATAATGTTTTACATCATATATTTATGTCTACTATATGCCTGGAATCAAATTTTTTAATGTGGTAGTAGATAAGATAGGGTTTAAGGTTCTGTTTTTTTCTCCATATTGAAATCAAACTTACCCGTTGATATATGCTAAAGAGATTATTTCCAATCTCTCAATGAATTGTAGTGAAGATAATGTCCTAAATTAGAAATACGTATATATGTGGATTTGTGTTTGGAGTCTCTATTGTATTACATTTTTGTAGTTGTCTATTTTTTACCAAAAACATATTGACTTATATTTTGGTAGCTTGTCAATCATCCTAATATCTAGTAGTGTAAGTCTGCTAATTTTGTACCTTTTCAAATTGCCTTGACTATATTATGTCTTTGCATTTGTCTAGAAAATGTAAAACCTTTCATCAATTTTTTTTAAAAAAAGAGCTTGATGAGATTTTGACTTTTGTTATATTGAGTCTATGAATCAATCCTGAGAGAATTGGCACTTTTACATGGGTTTTTTAACATGTTATAAAACAGAGATTGTCAGATTGGATGGAAAAATCAAGACCTAATTACAAACTGTCTAAAGAAAAAGAACGTCACTTAAAATATAAAGACACTGAGTGAGCAAAATGATGGAGGAAGGTATTTTATGAAAACACTAAAAAGAAACTACTGTAGCTTTATTAAAATCATACAAAATAGATTTCAGAAGAAGAAACAGTATTATTGTTAAAGAGGGACATTATGCAATAATGTGATAAATTTCCCAAGATGACATAGCAATATTACAACTATATGTACTTAACAACAGAATGTAAACATATCTGCAACAAGAACTCATAGAACTGACAGAAGATATAGACAAGTTCCCAATTGTAGTTAGAGACTTCAACATGACTTTTTAAAAACCTGATAAAACAAGTAAGATGATAATCAGTAAAGATGTAAATATGTAAACAACACTGTAAACAATTTGACCAAATGAACGTTTATAGAACACTGCATCTAAAAACAGTAGAGTGCACATTCTTGTCAATTTCATAAAAAATGTTATAACACTGAAATTGTGGTGTGTAAAATACTCATATCTTGACCAGAAAGGCTAAAAGATGAACTTATGAAAATAACTACAACAACTTTTCAAGACATAAACAGTATAATGAGATATAAATCAAAACAATGAAAATTTAAGAAGTGAGGGGATGAAGGTAAAGTGGAGAGTTGTTGTTAGTTTTTTCTTTGTTTCTTGGTTAGTTTGTTTATGCAATCAGTGTTAAGTTGTCTTCAGTTTAAAATAATGTATTATAACACAGTATTTGCAAGCTTCATGGTAATCTAACCTAAATCAAATCTAAAAGCCTACAACAGATACAAAAAAAATGGTAAGAAATTGAAAAATACCACCAGAGAAAATCACCCTTGCTAAAAGGAAGACAGAAAATAAAAATGAAGAGAAAACCACAAAACACCCAGAAAACAAAAACATGGCAGGAGTAAGTTCTTACTTATCAATCATAAAATTTAACATAAATGGACTAAACCATGCAATCAAAAGACATAGAATGGCTGAATTTATCAGTTGCTCAATGAGTGAATTTATCAATTTCAATTTATCAAAAGCAAGACCTAGTGACCTGTTGCCTACAAGAAACACATTTCATGTATAAAGACATATACAGACTGCAAATAAAGAGATGGAAAAGACATCCAATGCCAATGGAAATAAAAATGGAGCAGCAGTAGCTATATTTATATCAGACAACAGATTTCAAGAGAAATCCTATAAAAAGAGACAAAGAAGGTCAGTATAATAATAAAGAAGTCAGCAAGAGGATATAATAATTGTAAATATATATGCACCCAACATTGAAGCACTCAGATAAATAAAGCAAATGTTACTAGCACTAAAGGGAGAGACAGACCCCAATACAATAATAGTTGGAGACTTCAGAATCACAGATTCAGCACTGGAAAAATCATCCAGACAGAAAATCAGCAAAGAAATATTGGACTTAATTTGCACTATAGACCAAATAGACTTAATAGATGTTTACAGAACATTTCACCTAATGACTTTAGAATACACATCCTTCTCAGCACATGGGTCTTTTTCAAGAAAAGACCATATTTTAGGCCACAAATTAAATCTTCAAACGTTCAAAACAATTGAAATTATATCAAGTATCTTCTCTAACCACAATGGAATGTGACTAGAAATCCATAAAAAGAGGAAGGTTGAAAACTACACAAACACATGGAAATTATACAATATGCTCTTGAATGACCAGTGGGTCAATGAAGAAATTAAGAAGGTAATTTAAAAGTTTCTTGAAACAAATGAAAATGGAAACACAACATACCAACCTATGGAATACAGCAAAAGCTGTACTAACAGGAAAGTCTGTGGCAATAAGTGTCTACATAAAGAAGAGGAAAAGTTTTAAATAAACAAGCTAATGATGCATCTTAAAGAGCTAGAAAACCAAAAACAAACCAAACCCAAAATTAGTAGGAAAAATAAATAATAAAAATCAGAGCTGAGACAAATAAAATTGAAATAAAAAACAAATGATCAACAAAATGAAAAGCTGGATTTTTGAAAAGAGAAACAAATTTGACAAACCTTTAGCCAGACTAAGAAAAAAAAGAGATAAGACAAATAAAATCAGGGATGAAAAAAGAAAACATTACAACCAATAATGCACAAATTCAGTGAATCATTAGAGATCCACTGAATTGTGCAACTATATGCCAACAAATTGGAAGCCGTAGAAAAAAATGAATAATTCATGGAAGCACACAACCAAGATAGAACCATGAAGAAATCCAAAACCTGAACAGACCAATAAGAAGTACTGGCAATGTTCGCCTCCTAACACTTGCAGGTCTAAGAGCTTCCGTTTTTCCCTAGCTGTCAGCTGGAGGTCACCCTCAGCTCCTAGAAGCCATCTATAGTTCCTTGCCCAGTGGAGTTCCCTAACATGGCTGCTTGTCAGCAAGGGAGGGAGAGGGAGCTGCAACCTTATGAAACACAATCATGTAATCACATACACAGAATCTCATACATCTGTTCACCTTTGCATATCACAGGATCCAACCACACTCAGGAAGAAGAGATCACACAAGGTTGTGGACATATGGATGTGAGGATCATAGAGGCTACCATAAGGGTTAATCCACTACAAGTGTATTTGTCAAGGTAAGCTGAGAAGAGAACCTCTGCTGGTACCCCACATCCTGTTGCCAGAGGCATCTGAAAATCTTTATATTATCTCCAGTGCCCACCTTTATTTCTAGTCCTTAACATTCAAAATTAGGCACTCTCAGGGGTTTATCTGTGGAAGATAGTCTCTTTCTGCTTGTCAAGGAAGCCTACTCTTTTACTTGCATTGAAATAGCTGAAATTTCTGTTCTTAATTAGTGCTTATTTGCTTGTCAGGCAAAAATACCTTATCATTTCCAACATGTATGGGATGCCCAGAACTTTGGATAATAAAATGTTTCGTATTTTATACGCCCTTTAATCTTCTCAGCAGTAATCAGGAGAGAAAGGTAATGCATCTTAATTATAATATTTATTGCAAATTTGAGAACATTTTAAGTTTTTATTTGTGAGAGAAAAGGGAATAATCGTGTAACAAATATCATATATCATGTGTCAACAAGGATAATTGCGTCTGTTAGTCTGCTTGTATTAACAAATATCCCAATTAAAAAACATACACACACACACACACATATATATGTGTGTGTATATATATGTCTATATATACACAAACACCCACACCTCCCCCACCCACACACATACACACACACATATATATATATTTGGAGAAAAAAACTCAACAAGAAAACATGACATATAAGTGTTGCTTTGATACTTTCTCTGTGTTATTTTTTGGCCATGCCTGAGGCTTTTAACTGCCCTGAGGACTTGGTGAGAGGGAGAAGGCATTCCTCTGTCGCTCAGTTTTTCTTACTCCGTGGTGCCTGAGAGGGCTCTTGTTAATAATCCTGCTCAGGGCTGCACTTGTGTGCAGCAGACAGAACTGCACTTAAAGAGTCAACAGGCAATGAGGGACCTAACAATAATTTGACTCCTCTGTGGGTATTTGCTAGGTGGCAGTTAGATCAATGTACAAATGAGTACTTCCAATAGCATCTACCCTCATAATGTAAAATAGGATATAGAGGCAAGTATTTCTTTCCATTTTTATACACTTATTACAATTGTCCATATTATAAGATGCCAAAACGTGGTCTCAATTTCCAGTTTCACATTGTTTATAAATAAAATGTGCAAAATTTATGCAGTGTTCCTCTGTTCCTCACACTTTTTTTTTCTTTGTTTGTTTGTTTGTTTTTGGGACAGAGTCTCGCTCTGTCGCCCAGGCTGGAGTGCAGTGGCGCCATCTCGGCTCACTGCAAGCTCCACCTCCCGGGTTCATGCCATTCTCCTGCCTCAGCCTCCCAAGTAGCAGGAACTACAGGCGCCTGCCACCACGCCTGGCTAATTTTTTGTATTTTTAGTAGAGACGGGGTTTCACCATGTTAGCCAGGATGGTCTCGATCTCCTGACCTCATGATCCACCCGCCTCAGCCTCTCAAAGTGCTGGGATTACAGGCGTGAGCCACCGCACCCGGCATTCCTCATACTTTTAATGCCAGAAATAATTAAATCGTAATTTCTGTTCAATTTACCACACCATTTTCTTTACACTAGAAATATTGGAGGTTTTTTATTGTTGTTAGTATTTATTTTTTGTTATGAGTGTTTCTGTGATGTCTGGAGGTACTTCGTTTTTCTCTCCTTTATCTATGTTTTCCCATTTTTCAACACTATCAGAAAGCCCACATAATGTAAGATAACAGCCATTAATAAGAAAACACTTGTTTCAAGCAAAGCTTTTAATTACCTTTGCTATAAGAAAGCAGACGTTTATCCTTAGATTAAAACAAAGTGACTTTTCTTGAAATGAATATAATTGTTTAGTGAAATATGATATATTTGCACACAAAATATGCTATGAATTATGAATAAATGCCACAGCTGAGATAAACACATAAATACCTAACTTGGTTAGGTATTCAAGCATATGTATATGTAATTATATACATACACCTAAATGTATAATATATACATATATACGTATACACACAATTATACATTCCAAATTTACCAGTATTTATTCCTTACCATTTTTTGCAAGCTTTCCATTGTTATGTGCTGATGGAAAAAAAGAAAAGTAAACCTATTGATTGGTTTGTTTGTCCAAGATCTGAAACCCTCAGTTTATTCACCTTCTGTTGACAGCTGTTTACATTTAGTTCAGAATATTGAGTGTGCCACATAGAATTTTTAAGTAAGCCTCATAGCAAAGGAAAACCTCTAGAATATATTTAAGGCATTGATTCTTTATCTCTGTGCACCATGAGCACACTGTTACATGTCCGTAGTTACACCATATATAATTTATAGGGTTTTAGACAAGTTAATTAAAATCTTGAAGCCTTACCTTCTTTGTGAATAAAATAAGAGATAATTACAAAACTTTCTTAAAGAGTTTGAGAATTTAATCTATGTATAGCACCTATATACAGCCTGGTGCATGCTAACCACTTAATAAATATTATCTATGATTTGTTACATATTTAAAAAGTCTTAAAGCACTTGTTTATACATAATCGTATTTGATTCACCAACAGCTCTATGATATGGGAATTGTCTTTTGAATTTTACATATGAGGTAACTGAATACTGCAGATACTAAGTACCTTGCTTCCACAGAGAGAGTGGTGGCGCCTGGCCTTGAAGCAAGACAATTTGGCTCCAACCCTGCAAACTTCACATTCTCCCACAGCTACCAGGAGGCATAGAAAGGAGATACTTTCTACAAGGATATGTGCTAATCCATCAGCTGACCTTGTCAGCACTGTTTTCAAAGCATCAAAATTCCAAACCCTCAACAATTTTGTATGACTTCCACTTCAGCATGCTGATCTAAGAAACATTATTTTTCTGTTGGGTTGTATTGATATCTTAACTTACTCCTCTGTTGCCACATTTGCCAGCTCCCACCCCAATCCACACAGACCCTATCATCAACACACTGCATTACATGTTGCTTTTAATCTTCAGTGATATCATGCCACTCCTCTACTTAAAGTCTTTCATTGGAATTGCATCCATCTCATTTGCCAGGATATTTTGTGAACATTAAATTGATATAAATGGATACGTGGTTAAGTGGATATAAGTACCCTAAACATGACAAGTAGCATGAAACCTGTGTAGAATCAATATTAATTATTCTTAACAGTTCATACCCAGAATTTAAAGAGACTGCACTGGGACTCATATGAAAGTGTTTACCTCATATTGCACGGATAAACTGACTGAGGCAAGGAAAGACTGAAGAGGTTGTGGTTCTTGAACCAAAACCTCTCCATTAGCCACGTCACTTCTTTAGAAGAGATATTTCTCTTTAACTATGTTCCTTGGGTGTTGAACTTTACACATATGCTGTTGCAATAGGGATAATGTGTGTTTTTTTGTTTGAACTTTACACATATGCTGTTGCAATAGAGATAATGTGTGTTTTTTTGTTGTGTGTTTTGGTTTGGTTTGGCTTTTTTCATGATCTAATGTTACTGTAATTGGCCAGGTCTAGGTCACTCGCACGCGGTAAATCAATCATCGTGACATGGATTTTGCAAAAAAGAAAAGATTTATTCACAAAGGCACTGAGCAAGAAAGCAAAACAGCTCTCAAATCTGCCTATCCAAAGATAAGACTTAGGGTTGTTAATGAGTTAGGAAAATTGGGTAATATAATGCATGGGAAAAGGTAATTGGTAGTGGGGAAAAAAATATAGTTACAGGTTCATTCCGCACAAGTGTGGATGTCATTCATGGCATTTCATAGGTCATAGGTACAGAAAATGGCAACAGTGGCATAATCTGAGGGTGGAGTTTTTGGCTTTCTAATGTCAAAATGCTACCTCTTGGGCATTTGCACAGGCCCAGTTGAAGGGTCCGTGGTTTCAACCAGTTTGAAGTGAACAGAAGCTGGTCCAAGTTTCTGAAAAACAACTGAAGCTACTATTACCATGGATGACCTATTCTCTCTATAAAGTAGCCAGTGAAGGTTAAGTTTCGGTGTTCTGCAGTGAGGACTTCAGCTACTTCAGCTTTCAGCTTCATTGAAAAAGGAGGGAAAAAAATGTAACAAAAAAACAAGCAACTAAAAGCAAGCAGTGCAGGCAGCCCTGACCTAATTAACCCCTCAGTTTCAGCCCTCCTCATTTTTTCCCATTCCTCATTCTTTTTTTTTTTTTTTTTGAGATGGAGTCTTGCTCTATTGTCAGGATAGAGTGCAGTGGCACGATCACAGCTCACTGAAACCTCTAACTCCCGGGTTCAAGCAGTTCTCCTGCCTCAGCCTCCCGAGTAGCTGGGACTACAAGCATGCACCACCACGCCCAGCTAATTTTTGTATTTTTAGTAGAGACAGGGTTTCGCTTTATTGGCCAGGATGGTCTTAATCTCCTGACCTTGTGATCCGCCCGCCTTGGCCTCCCAAAGTGCTGGGATTACAGGCTTGAGCCACCACGCCTGGCCCCATTCTTCATTCTTAAAGAATCTGAGGTGACATTCATTCTAGCTGTTTCCTGCTGAATTGGGGCATAGATCTGGATTAAAGGAATGCAGTTATCTGGCACTCATTTGAAAATATTTTCCTGTCTCTGGTTTTAGTTTAACATTTTGCATTGTCAGAACTTTGGTACTTTAACAGTTTAAGTACAATATTTGAAAGCATACAAGTAAATATTCTATAAAAGGACACAAAAAAAGAGATCCCTTTTGTTGGGTAGCAATGGATAAGGTTGTTTCATTTGCCATTATTCTTAGAGTTTTTGATAATATGTTCACATGATCTAGTTCCCCATTATGGGAAGAGTATTCTACCAAATATATATCAGCATCCATGTTCTTTATATGTAGGCAGGTAAATGGTTCTTTTTATTCTGGAGAACAAATTTAGAAATATAGTCCAATACTGGGTCTCACTGGAGTTATGGACAGAAAAAGGAGTAATCAACTACCCCAGTACACATGTGTCCCCTAATTTTTGATATATTCCAAAACCCATGGGGTTCCTTGATGTCCTCCACGAACAAATAGGCATTCTAGGGGGAGGGGCACAAAATGACAGATAGGTTGTGGTCATCTGGAAAGGATTTATGTAGGTTAACCATAGAAATAAGGTCAAACCAAGGTTCTATCTTGGACATGTTCTGTAGGTCAGGGGCCTGTGTCCATTCTTGTGGGCCGAGATAGGAAACTGAAGTGGTATTTTGTAAGCATAATTTTAAAGGGGCGTACAAGAGGGAATGAGGGTCCTGATCATTCAAGGAAGCAAAGCCCAAACAGGTTTATAAGGGGAAAGTGTCTTATTTTGTCCATTACAGAGCATTAGAAGGTAGCCTGAAGAGGCAGGGTAACAGAAGGTGTGGAGTTCTCTTAAGCAATGTAGCCCATCATTTTCTAAGTTGGACATGCTGAGTAGCTGGCATGAGAATGATCCATGGACTGGCTGAATACAGTTGGACACACTGGGGTATGGCAGAGGGTAGCTTTGGACATGTGGGTGGTTAAGAAAAAATAAGGAATAGGGGATGAAGGTACAGACTGATAAATCCGAACTCAGTAAGTGACACAAGGAGGCCTAGCATGGTCAAGAGTGAAGTTGCGAACATTGGAAAAATTGTAAACAGGCAGAATAATGGGATCACTGTGATCATGTGTAGAATAGGGCTTTGGGTGACATATCTGACATTTAGAGAGATTATCTGCCTTTGCCAGCATCTTAGAAATCCTTGTCATTGAGTTGTTTCTCCCAGCTTGGGGGCTAAAGGTCAATAAGGAGGGACAACAGAAAAGGTAGAAGGTGATTATGTGTATGATTGAAGGAAGGGCCTATTAGCCCTGCTTGCCAAGGAAGTGGATAAAGCCTTCGTTCAGGCAATACACAGCAAATCACAGGTAGGTAAAGAAGTAGACAAAAACAAGTAAACCAAAGAATAAAGCAAGAACCCGAGAGTTGTTCATTACTTATCTTTAGGGAGCTGTCTCTTAAACAGTAGTTCGCTTGAGGTCAGTCAGAGGTTCACAGGTCCATTTGGAAAAGTCAGTGTCTGATGTGTACTGCTGATGCAGATTCAGGTAATCTCAGCAGTTTTTTTCTCTGTCACAGGGTTTCCATTCCCGGAGGCGTTTCTGTAAAGAGGGCACAGTGAATCTAATGACTCTGGGACCAGCTTCACTTGTGTATGATGGACCCATGGTTTTACTCCTTTTAACTTGACTGTGAAGAATGGGTCAACAGTAGTACCTCATAAGGCCAGTTTAATAAGAATAAAGCTGGTCTTCTGGATGTTTATTCTTCCAAGACTTTAATAGAATCCAGTCTCCAGGACAGAGGTGGTACAAAGCAACATCTGTGGGAAACATTTTACCTCCCAGAAATGAATTCATATATAGCAATTAAAGTGATTCCCAATGATTGTACGTACCTGACAGCAACTAATTATTTTCGGCTTCCCTCCGGGTACCCCAGTACCTCCCACCCTTTGAGCATAGGAAGGGTCTCCCATATAACATTTTATAGGGACTCCACTGGAACTTGATTCTAGGGGCCACTCTCTCTGGAAGCAGGGCAACTGGTAAGGCCTTATCCCAAGATAAATCAGTCCCTTGACAAATCTTATCCAAAGTCTTTTAAAGAGTATGATTCATCTTTTCTATATTGCCAGTAGATTGTAGCCGCCAAGAAGTGTGTAATTTCCAGCAAATGTCTAAGGTACCAGAAGTTTCTTGAGCTATTTTTGCTATAAGGCTCTGCCATGGTTGCTTTGGATAGACATGGGTAGCCCAAACTGAGGACTTATTTTTTTTAATAGAGTTTTTACATCCTCAGGAGCCTTTTCATACCACCAGGGAGAGGCCTCTATCCATACAGTAAAAATGTCCAGAAATATTAATAAGTACCTGACATTCCTGGTGGATCTCAGCATCATGGTAAAAGTCAATCCGCCTGTTTCCCCTGAGTATGGTGTCTCTGTATTGGGCCCACTTTTATTATTGGTGGAGGTCCTGTTTGGACTCCCTAATTACATTTCTTGGTAATTCCCTAGCCTCTTAGAAGTAAGCCAATATCTTCTTTGTTCTGACAGAGGGAGGAAGTACACAGTGGGGAGTGTGTACGGTGGTGGGCTGGCCAAAGGTAAACTTTTCTGGTTGATGTAGTAAATTACAGGTGGCTGCTACTGCACGCAGCCATATAGGATGTTTCTTAGTCATTATGTCTAGCTGTTTTGAGAAATGGGCAATGGGTTTTCTCATATTACCTAGATTTTGGGTTAATGTTCCAAGAATAATCTTTTGTCTTTCATGGACAAACAGATCAAAAGGCTTCCCAATGTCCAGGAGACTTAAAGAGTTTCATAGAAGGGCTTGGCTGTCAGTCCAAAATTGAGGATCCAAATATGACAAAACTCTGCTATAGCTAGGAATCCATACAACTGTCTCCTGGCGGCAGGTACTGCTACCTCTGCTACAGCCCCTTTCCTTTCAGGGAGTAAGCTCCTCTGTCCTTGTGACAACTCAAAACTTAGGTATTTAAAAGGTTCAGAAATCTGGGCCCTTTTTTTTTTTTTTTTTTTTTTTTAGATTTTATAGCCCTGTTCAACTAGGAAATTTAAGGTTAAAATGTTTTGGTCTGAGGCTTCTTTAGTCTTACTGGTAATCAAGATGTCATCTACATACTAGAGAAGTTCTCCTTCTTTTAATTGGAGATCCTTTAATTCTGTGGCTAAGATTTCACCAAAAGGGTTGGAAGAGTTTTTAAAAACTTGAGGGAGTACAATCTAACAATATTGTTGTTTGATCCTAGTCTCGAGATCTTCTTATTCAAAAGTGAAGAGTTCCTGTGAGCTGGGGCTCAGGTGTCCAAAAATAATCCATAAGTTTCAAAGCAGTAAATCAACCAAAGTCTTCAGACACAGTGGCAAAGTTTAAGGGTTAGGCACCATTGGGTGGATATCTTCTCCAATCTGGTTAATGTCTCTTAAGTGCTGCACAAAAAGATGTTCCTGTGTGCCTGGCTTCCATACCAGCAAAATTGGAGTGTTATATGGGGACTGGCATGGGCAGATGAGGTCATATTCAAGAAACACAGCTACAGATAGATTGAATACCTTGTGTAGCATGTTCTTTTAGTGGATACTGTCTCAAATTTGGAACTCTCAACCAGTAGGAACTTTAGCAGATATAGGTGCTGATCTCTTTATCTGTCCCGGTCTCTCATCCTCCCATAAATCCAGCCTTAGCTTTTTTAAGATCTCTTCAAGGATCTTTGTTGGGGGGTCCCTTGACTTTTTTTTATAGTGCCACTTGAAGGGCACATGCTTGTTCTGGTGGTACCTTCACGTCCATCCAGAGGGGGGAAAAGTCACTAGCATTCAGCTTGGTTAGTAGGTCCCATTGCAGCAGCAGGATGGGGCATTGAGGCATACATAGGAAACTTTGTTTTAGGTGTGATTTGCCCATTTGGCAGTCTGGGGGTTGGAGAAACAACTTTTTCAAGGTTTTTCCAGAGACCCTTGTCATCAGCATAGCATTGTTTTCTCAGATAACTTGAAAAGTTGAATGTTTAGGACTAAGTCAGAAGCCCCAGTGTCAATCAGAAAATCCAGAAGTCTATTTCCCACCATCATGGTCACCCTGAGATCCATGTGGGATGTGGGAAATCATCAGGATCAGTAAGGTGAAAGGAAGCCCTTGGCCTCATCTTTATGTTCACCACTGGTGATCTTAGGCATTTGTTGCACTGCCTGCTCACTATCTTCTTCAAGAGTCTTATTTTAATCTGGGCACTCTTTCTTCCAATGGTCCTCTTGTTTTCAGTAGATACATTGGTGGGGTCCCACTGTGCAGTATCCTTTAGAGTCTGTATTCTGGGATGGGGGCTCCTTACCTTTAATCAAGGTCTTCCTGGATTATGGACTGCAGGTTTGATATGGGTCAGTGCTGCCACCAGCAGAGTGGCTTGTTTCATTTTCTGTTGCCCCTTTTCTTCTTGGACATCATCCCTGCCATTGGAAACCTTGCGAAAAATCTCAACCAGTTGAGACATTGGCACACCTCTGTTTTCTGTAGTTTCTTCTGAATGTCTGGAGTGCTTTGGCTGACATGGGTCATACAAACCATTGTAAATTTTTCAGAGACATCTAGGCCTATATCTGTGTATTGCCTATATGCTTCAAAAATCCCTTCCAGAAACTCTGAAGTTTATGTTTTACCATCCTCTTGAAGTTTATGTTTTACCTCCTATACTTTATTTAGACTCCTTTCTTTTGAGACCCCTTTGTGGAGCCCTGCTGAAGTGCAATTTCAGGAATGTTCAAGTCTAACGCTGTCTCCTGCATGTATTTTCCAATGAGAGTCAGCTGTGGGGATGGCCACAGCTGCATCAGCCCTTACAGAATTTTATGGGGTCTAAGTGATTGGCTTTTTCTCTAGCCTTTTCTAAATCCATACAGTATTCCTCAGCAGTGAGAAAGGTATTTAATAAATTTGCTGCATCATTTCTAGTGACATTATGAGTGGCAAAATTTGACGAAAAATGATTTTCTATTCTCTTGGGATCATCCTTACAAGTAGGCATGTTGTTCTTCCAATTATACAGATCCCATGTAAAAATGAGAGAGTAGACTCAAGTCAGTCTCACTGGCTGTCCAGTGGACATGTCCATATCTCCAGTAGGAACTTGTCTTAGTGGGTATTGCCCTACATGGATTTGGGTAGCCCCCTGACAAATTGAGTACTCTGATGGGTGTGAGAAAGAGACACGATTTTATCTCCTGGCCTTTGGGGACAGAGGGAGCTGAAATCTGGGACTGTGGCTCAGGAAGTAGAGATGGGACAATGCCACTATAAGGGGGTACTCCTTTTCATTAGAATTAGACAGAATAGGTTTCTTTGTCTCTCTTTCCTGTTGAACTATAATCTTACAATTTGTTTTTCATATAGGCTTATTCAGGTATAGCAACATAAAAGAGTGAACATACAGTAATTCATCTCATTTTTCTTCCAAAGACATATTAAGCAAATAGAAAAAATATTATAGAAGCAACAGCTTTATGACCTTAAAGTATCTAAATGTTGAAGATGTTTTTATTTCATTTTTTTCAATAATTTAAAAATTATTTATTTGCCAAAGATTTTTAAAGTCACATGAACTTAAAAATCATTTCGGCTTATTTATTTAATTTATGAGTATTTATTTATAATCCAGTTTGCTACCATGTAAATGCAACAGATAACATAATGCATATGTATACATAAACAAGACAGTTGGATCCAACTTATGTTTCTGACAAAACTGGAACCTGTTCACATGGCTATGCTTTATATGCCCCAGTAGGTTAAAAAAAATGCACTTTCCATGTCAGTTTGATTTTAAAAGACCTCTTTCATCTTTTTAAAATCTTTTAGCCAAGTGACCATGATTTAGTAGCAGCATGAACAGTAAGCTTTATCACAATACCAGTAGAAAAGTCAGCAGATTCAAAATAGGCAGAAAAAAATAGGGAGATACGCAGATAACTTTAGAAGACTACATGTTAATTCATTAGTTACAGGTTTTTGAATAATAACTATTTGAGCTCTGAATTTTCTTTGATGTAATTAGGCCATCAGTTTTAAAATGTGTGCTAGAATGAACAATAATATGTAGCCGGCTGGAGTCCCAGAAAACCTGGCATTCCTTAATGATTGAGAAGCCCATTTTAGCCATTTCTCTCTGAAATCTAAAGGACACTGTGGCCACACAGTGTTATAGAAAAACACCATCTTTTCTTTTCTCGTGGATTCATAGCTGAAAGTTGCCCAGTTTTAGAGAACACAACCTAATGGGCTGCAGGTGGGGATAGAATTAGCATTTCCTATTGTTTCAAACTCTAAACATGATCAGTCAAAATATATTTATATTATCTATGCTGCAGCTAGAACCAGATCTCAGAAAACGGAAACCAGACAGAACCAGGAGAACTTCTGCAAGTGGAGATTCCCTAATCCTTCCCTAATATCAAGTTGTCCCCAAAACCAGGACCCTTACAACGTAGGTCAAACTAGGGCTTCCTTTCAGAAGTCAAGCCAGAGGGAAAGAGATAAGAATCCAGTCACTTGTATCAAAGTTACCCAAAAAGACATCTTCCAGGCCAGAAACTATTTCTCTGTTGCAAAAATGTGAAGTATACACCAAAGGCCAGTGGTGAATGCTGGAGGATCCTGAGAAGATGTCTTTAAAAATAGCCCCAAGCAGCTGCCTGAATGTACCTGTAAGATTCCAGCAGCAGCACAGGGCAACTGAACCACCAGCAAAAGGTATGGACTAAAACTCCTGGCTAGACTGCTGTATTGTTACTGACTAAGTCCAGGTCCATTCTGCCTGCATGCAATAAATCAATCACTGTGACATGGAATTTACAAGAGAGAAAAGATTTATTGTCAACGGCACTGGGTGAGGAGGTTGACGAACAGCTCCCAAATCCACCTAGCTGAAGATAAGGCTTAGGGATATTTATAGCCTAGAGAAGTAGAGTGGCTTAAGGCATGGGAAAAGGTAATTGGTAGTGGCAAAAAAATGAAGTAACAGGTTTGTTCTGCACAAGCATAGCTGGAGTTCATGGCATTTCATATGTGTGGAAAATGGCAGCACTAGCATGATCTGAGGGTAGAGTTTTTGGCCCTATGACGTCAAAGCCCAACTCTCAGGCATTTGCACAGGGCCTATTGAAGGGTTGGTGGTCTCAGCTAGTTTGAACTGTATAGAAGCTGTCCAAGTTTCTGAAAAACAAGTGAAGTGACCATTACCATAATGACCTATATGTTATCATATTATCTATAATGCAACCAGTGAAGATTAAGTTTTTGTTCAGTGGTGAGGCCTTCAGCTACTGTGGCCTTCAGCTTCATGGAAAAAAGGAAAAAAATAATAACAAAAAGCAAATGACCAAAAGTAAGCAGTTCAGGCATACCTGATCAATTAACCCCTTGGTTTCATTACCAGAAGCAACTTAGAAGTGAGGAGATCCACATTGTACCGCAGATGCAGTTATTCCTACTGGTTGGCTAGGAGTAAATTACTTCTACCCTCTTTGCCTCAGTTTCTTCAACCAAGAAAAGCTTATGTTACACTAATTTCTTAGTTGAAGCATTTTGTAATTCTATAAATAGCAGTAAAATTCAGCAAATCCTTAGGACTGTGTTTATCTGATTAAACTTTTCAGTTCTGTAAATTAAAAATGATTAGATGTAAACCTAAACAGAGTTATCTCTGACCCTTAGAAACCAAGATAAGCTCATGATTAAAAAAACAAAAAACAAGAAAACAACCAAAGCTGCTTACATTTACTGCAGAGAACCTTTAAATTTTTTCCATGTTCTTTCTTCTTTACAAACATATTCTAGTTAATGTTTCCCAGTATGGGCTATACATCATACTTGGAATCATACCCAGTGAGAACATTTCGGCTCTCTTTATATGAGACCTACCCCTGAATTTTTCTGCTTTGTTTTTTTACCACTGACAACCCTAAATAAAGTCTATCTTACTCTTTCCTTCTTGGCTGCAAATTTAGTTTACATAAGTCATAGAATCTGTGTAAGGGAAAAAAGTTTTAAGGTTGCTTGGTCCAAATGTCTAAATATTGCTCATGATCTGTTGGTTTCTTCAAAAAATTCTTAACTTGTTTAAAGTTTGAAATATTTAAACTCATTCTAATTTCCAAATTAAATGTTTTAAAATGGAATATATGAAAAATTAGGATTCAACTTCTGCTAGTCTCTCCAACATCTTCTCCACCACTCATCTCCATGAACCTGATGCTTGATAGTGAATCCAGAATTCACAATGCATTTTCTTTACTGTGCAAATGGGATGATGAGTCCTTTTGTTAAAAAAACACATTGAACCTTCTCGCTTTCTTGTCTCTTTGCCCTAGCTTTATTTCATATTTTATACTATGTATTTGTGTAATTAGGGTGATACTCCTGATCTCTCTTATATTCTAAGTTCCAGGAGGTTGGGTAACTTGTCTGTATTGCTCCTCAATTATATTCATCATACTTTAAACTCCCTGACAACAGTGCCATGTGCCTAGGTGTTTGTATTCTTAGCTCTGTTTGTTAAAAGGATGAATGTGTATATTAAAATTTTTCAGTTTTCAAAATTCAGCAGAATAATTCTTTGTATAGTACAGTCTTTGATTTGTTTTTCTCTACCCCTTCACAGCCCCTGTCAAAACGATTAACTTCCTCCTGTGTACAATGGGGATATTAGTCACAAGCCTATTTAGTACATTTTGTGTGCATGGAAAATATTGGTTTAGGAAAGTGTTTTGTCTAATTTTTATTTATTTTGCCAACCCCAATGCCTGCATACAGTCATTCATTTGGCAAATATTTCTTGAGCAGCTAAATATGAACCAAGTAAGTATAATTAGAAAATAGTTTACTCACCTTTATAAACTAGTATTTAGCTCTGTTTCTGACTTATAGACAATATAACTGTGGTGTGCCAGAGAAAGAATGGACGAATCACCGAACCCACCACTCAGTGCTAGCACATTTCTGAACATAAAGCTGAATAATTGAGAGAACTTAAATAATCACTCATGAAAGGATGAGACTTTTGCAAACCTTAAGAGGCTTATGGTCCTTTTCGTTAAAAATAAGCTAAATGACTCAGGTTTTTTGTATCTGAAAAAAAAAAGGATTTAAATTTTCCTCTTTATGTGCTTGAATTATGGTCCAATACAAGTATGGTCTTCGTAAAAAATTTGGAAAATGAAAACATTATAGTGACTTCATTAACTACAGTGTAACTACCCTTTTCAGAGATATCTCACATAAACATATTAGTAAAGAGTTTGAGTCTTGTTCTAAAGAAAAATATTTGTATTCTAAGCCAACTTAATCTAAAACATACTGATGTATACTTGATTCATATCATAACTATTAAGGCAGAATCATCCTTTTACAGTAAAGTATCTACAACACACCTGTTAGTAAGCAATGTTATAAGTATGACACAACTTGGTCTTTTTTCCTCTGGCTGATTTCTAGGTATTCTATTTTTTAAATCATATTTTGTTTGAATATAATATTCCTGATGGTTTTATTTGTATTTGTCCTTCTAAGGGGTCTCTGAGCTTCTTGGTTTTGTGATTTGATATCATTCAATAATTTTGGAAAATTAGTACAGGTTATTTTTTCAAATGATTTCCTCTTCCTCAGTTTCTCTCACTTCTTTGGGAAACACACACATTTAAATATACATATATATGTAAAAAGTATTGTTCCACAGATCTCTGATATTTTGTTCCATTTTTTTTCACTATTGACCTGTTTTTCAGGTTTATAGTTCTTTCCTCTGCTATGTCCAGTCTACTGATTAGCCTATCAGAAAGCAAAACAAACAAACAAAAAAACTCTATTTCCTTGTATTTTCATTTCTGGTATTTCCATTGTTTGTTTACACTTTTTGTATCTCTGCTAAAATTCCCCCCATTTGTCCAGATATGTTTTCTACCGTCTCCACTCTATCTTATCATATATTCATCATTATTTTAATTTCCCTGTGTGTTAGTAAATCAATACCTGGGCCATCTCTATCTGATTCTACTGACTTATTCCTTTCTTAATGATGACATATCTTCTTGGGTTACTTTTTTTTTTTTTCGAGACGGAGTCTCACTCTGTCACCCGGGCTGGAGTGCAGTGGCGCAATCTCCGCTCACTGCAAGCTCCACCTCCCGGGTTCACGCCATTCTCCTGCCTCAGCCTCCTGAGTAGCTGGGACTACAGGCGCTCGCCACCACTCCTGGCTAATTTTTTTTGTATTTTTAGTAGAGACGGGGTTTCACCGTGTTAGCCAGGATGGTCTCGATCTCCTGACCTCGCGATCCGCCTGCCTCGGCCTCCCAAAGTGCTGGGATTACAGGCTTGAGCCACCGTGCCCGGCTGGGTTACTTTTTTATGTGTCTCAAAGTATTTATTGAATTGCTAAATATTGTATATTAAAAAGTAGCAGAGATTGAGGTAAATAATATTTATGCTCAGAAAAAAAAAGCAAGCTTCTTTTTCTATGAGACAATAGTGTGTGGCTTGCATGGGTGAGTAAGAAAAATTTAATCTGCAACTTAATCTAATTGGGCTTTGTTGCTGATTCAGCTGTATTCAGTTCCTCAGAGCCTTCTAATTACTTGACACGTTCCTTAGAAAGGCTTGGCATCTGAGTGTCTAAAGGGTGTATTTTAGCTCTCTAGCCTACCCTCACACTTCAGCATCCCATTCACCTGTGCCTTAAGGAAGTCTCAGCTCTTCTGTTTTCTCCCAGAAGCAGAGGGGCACTGCCTCATCCAGTGTGGTGTACTTGGAAGCATCCCATAGTTCTCCTCAGCATCCTAAAACTGCAGCAGGCCTGGAGCAGCTGGGCCTCAGAGGCATTCCCACACAGCTCTTTCTTTCCCTCTCCACTCTCAAGGTATCTGCTGCCTGAAACTTGATATAAGGCCAAACAGTAGCCGGTTTCTCTCTGTTCTCTCACTTTCCACTCAGACTATGGGAGGCCTGGAATCTTAGTCAGTTTGGACTGCCCCAACAAAATACCATAGACTGGATGGCTTATAAACAACAAAAAGTAATTTCTCACAATTCCAGAGGCTCAAGTTCAAAATCAAGGTGCCAGCATGATTGGTTCTGTTAGAGGCCTTCTTCCAGGTTGCAAACTTGATTTCTCGTGTTCTGACATGGGAGAAAGAGGGCTTGCTAGTTCTCTGGCCTCTTCTTATAAGCACACTAATGGCATGTATGAGGGCTCCACCCTTGTGAACTGAATCACCTCCCAAAAACCCCACCTCCTAATACCATCACATTGGGGTTAGCATTTCAACATACAAATCTGGGGAGACAGAAAACTTCAGTCCATAATACCCCATCTGTATCAGAAGAGCCTCTATCAGACCTCCTGCTGCTCCCCGAGAAGCAGATGACCACTGCCTCCTCCTCAGTGGAAGGCCCCATGTGTAGGAGAGTTTTCTCTGGTCTCCTGCTCTGCACCTGTGCCTCAGGGGGCTCTTTCTCAGTTCTCCTTTCCTAAATCCAATTTTTCTCATGAGTACTAGATGAAAGCTCAGGAAAAAGAGTCAATGGATAGGTACAAGGATTCCTTCTGCCTGGAACTCCCGGAGCTTCTAAACTCCCATGCCAGCCCACATCCAGCCTTTAAAAATTTGTCATAATTTCAGCAGTTTTTTTCTTGCCCAAGTCTATGGCATCTGTCTCCTCTTCCTGCTGCTCTGCCATAGATGGAAGCAGCTGTGCAGCCTGCCCAACTCTCTCTATTAGTCTCATCCTCTCTTGGATTTTAGGCTACTCTGTGACCATGGCTCTCTGATGAGTGTGAAATAACTGTAACTTTTCAGATGATTCACTTGTTTTCATAATTAGGCTGGGAGTGCTGTTTCCTTGCTATATTTTATATCCTAAGTGGAAGCAGAAATCCATTAAACTTTTTGAGTTGAAACTTTTGCTCATGATTTTTATTATCTTGAATATAACTTTATACAGCAGAAAGTACTGTCTCACATGCATTTCTCCCCAAGGATGTGGTTCTCCATATTTTATTAGGGCATATCTGATCTAATTCTAAAAGGTTTAAATGTCTTCTCTTTGTAAGTAGCAAACATTTAAGTCATGCTTATTAGGCTAGTATCACAACAGTTTAAACCAAGTTAGATGACTCAATGAAGGCTGAAACTTTTTTTGCCTATAGGTTTTTGGGGAACAGGTGGTATTTGGTTACATGAGTAGGTTCTTTAGTGGTGATTCGTGAGATTTTGGTGCACCCATCACCTGAGCAGTATCCACTGAAGCCAGTTTGTAGCCTTTTATCCCTCACCCCACTCCCACCTTTTCCTTCCAAGTCCCCAAAGTCCACTATATCATTCTTATGTCTTTGCATTCTCATAGCTTAGCTCCCTCTTACGAGTGAGAACATATGATGTTTGGTTTTCCATTCCTGAGTTACTTCATTTAGAATAATAGTCTCCAATCACATCCAGGTTGCTGTGAATGCCATTAATTAATTCATTTTTATGACTGAGTAGTATTCCATTATATATATATAATCACTGTTTCTTTATCCACTCATTGATTGACAGGCATTTGGGCTTGTTCTATATTTTTGCAATTGTGAATTGTGCTGCCATAAACGTATGTGCAAGTATCTTTTTCATAATCAAATGGCCAAATAAACATATGAAAAAGTGCTCAACATCACTAATGATCAGGGAAACGCAAATCAAAACCACAGTGCAACACTACCTTACTCCTGCAAGAATGACCATAATCAAAAAAATCAAAAAATAATAGATGTTGGCATGGATGTGGTGAAAAAGGGAACACTTCTACACTGCTAGTGGGAATGGAAACTAGTACAGCCACTTTGGAAAACAGTGTAGAGATTCCTTGAAGAATTAAAAGTAGAACTGCCATTTGACCCAACAATCTCACTACTGGGAATCTACCCAGAGGAAAGTTGAAACTTTCAATTTTGACCCTCTATTTTAAAGCCCTACAAACATCTATATTTTCTCTTTCCCATATATCTGTCACTCTTTCTGAATTTTTATTTCCCTCTTAATTCCTACTTGCCTCTCTTCCCATCTGATTATTCTTTTTCTCTTATTGGAAACTCCATCAGAAATTAAAATTCCCTCACATCTAGCAAGTTGTTTGTGGATTATGCTAAGTCTGACGATCTTGAATGATTTTTCTCTCTTAAATATTCATACCTAAATTATAATAGAAGAGTAAATATATAAGTTAAATTTTACTTTTGTTTTTGTTTTAATAAGTAGATTGAACTTAATTTGATAAGGCATATGATTAGGATATCTAATAGAACAGAAATGAAAATTCAACAAATATGCAAAGAGGTGATTCACTTTTTAAAAAAATAAAATAAAATGGCTTCCAGCATGAGAAGGGTAAAGCCATGATATTCTGACTTGTCTATTTCTTTAATTCATTTGTCACTTCAACAAATAGAAAGAAGGTTTGTTTTTTGAGCACCTCTTAATAGTCTGAATTTTATTCAAGGTATTTCAGACAGAGTGGTAAACACATCAATTTTTTGCCACCATCGAATTTATGGACTAAGGCTTGGATCTATCAGTAGCTCCCAAAGTCATGCAAGTATTGTTGTTGATTTCATGAGTGTATAGGCACACAGAGACATGTAAGTTCAGGATGCATATTCTAAAGAAAGAAGCATAAGAGAAATTGATGGAATGTCCTAATTTGATAATAATAAATATACCACTAGTATCTGAAAATTAAATGCAAGACCAAACAAATGGAAAGATATTGACTTTTTCTAGCCATCGGAAAATACAAGTTAAAATATTATGATAAAACATTAATATAGTAAAAAGAAAAATTAAAAAACTCAACAGAATAACACAGTCTTAGGGAAAGTGATGCAATTTTACATATTTTTAGTGTATAAACTGCAGTAAGCAATTTGGAAAATGATTTAGGAATGTATTTGAAGAACTGCAAAGTATTTTTATTTTTATGTAACACTATTCCTTGAAATGTATAATAGAATAATTTAGTAGAAAATAGTAATATTTTTGAATTAAAACATTAAAACTACTTTGGCCTCTAATAAAATATAGTACTACTATAGAATATTTTTCAATGTGGAAAAATGTTTAAATTACTTTTTCTCTTTATACTCTGCTAGTAATCCCTTTTACAAAGGTCAAAACCTTAGAATATCTAGCTGTAATCTTAGACATTTGAATTTAATGCCTATCTGTAAATTTTTCCAAACAGTTGTAAATTCTTGCAGTTTTCATTTCTTTTTAGAAAGGCATCTAAAAAAGTTTGAGCTCCCTCCTACAAAATGAGGCAATGAAAATATTCTCTTTTAAAGAAAAATGTATAAGTGGAGATTTGAATACTACATTTTTAAAAAATTAAGAGGGAAAGTCTTAAATGGTTGAACAGATTTCCAACAGAGTGAATTCTAACCCAGAGTTTCAAGAGTGAACCTCTAACAAGGTTCCAACAGAGTGAATTCTAACCCAAATGATTTTTTAGAAATTTTTATTATTAGGTTTAATTATTAAATTTAACAACCAAAAACTAGAGAAAATAATAGAACTCGATCTCTTTCTCCCACCCAGAAACAAAATCCATTCTAACGTTAGGATTGGTTTTATCTAAGAATCCATGATGTAAAATGGGATGAACAATCTTTTCTTTTTCTTTTCACATTTTACGTCTTCTGTTTATTTATCTAAAAAATACAAATAAAGAAAGCTGATTCTACCATCTGCTAATAAGCTACTTCTACAAAATTCTACTTCACATGCATTTGGAAGTCTCTATAGCATTTGCAATATTTAAAAATATTGAAGTAGTTGCTTGTTTTTCATGGGATTTGAAAGCCATAGATCTCATGCTCACCGCAATGCTTAATAACAATCAGTTTTTGTGGACCAAGTGATTATGAAATTGGAGAAAGAAGATATGAGATAAATATAACTGTCAAGTCTTTATGTTGCTTAAATACATCAAACTCCTTAACCAATTCAAAAAATAAGTAATATACATACTTCTGTACAAAACTTCAGTTCTGCTTTTATGAGTTTAGTATAATTAAATAGAAAATCGCAATGATTGTTAAATAAACAGGGTGGAAAATTGATGTGGATGCAATAAGTGCTTGATTTTTGCTGTTGTTATATTTTTAATATGTGGGCATATGTTTTGTAGAAATTCTCCGCTACCTAATGCTTACTCTCTTTCTAAATATATTGCTAGTATTGATTAAATAACATTCAGTTTAATTCACAATGCAGGAAGCAGCAGCCTACTGTTTAAAAAATCTAGATCTACTTTCTCTCCCAGTTAAATTTCCCCTTGTATTAGGATGTATTATATGTGTAATTGCTGCAAATAATTATTTTCCATTTTCCATTCTGAATAAACACTTAAGATAATTTTACCATAAAATAAAAATTGCATTAATGCTTATCAAATTCCTATAGATTATTAGTAATATTTTAATATTTTATGACAATTCACAAATTTTTAAAACACCCATAAGCACATATCGTTAAAGGATACAATGGTATTCACATTAGAATAGGATTTTGTTTTAGAAAATGAATTACTGAATTTAAAAAGCTCAGCACTCAGCATAAAAGGCTCTCAGAAAATATCACATTTTTATCTTTTTTCCTGGACATTATACAGCTACAATATTTTTTCCATTCATATACATTTTAGACTGGAACTACTGTTTCCACATCTGTAAGTTAGGCAATGTCTACATCATAGAAGTTTTTAAAGGGTGATTATTAATTTAGTTCATATAAAGAATCTGAATTTAGTAAAGATTCAGAAAAATAATAGCTCCTACTCTTATCAATTGAATAATAAATATAATGACCTTGTAGCCCGCTTATTAACAAAACTACATATTTATCACTAAACAACATGATACAACTATTACATCAAATTTAGATGTACCAGAAAGCATATATTTTATGGAAATCATTTCTCACACACTAGCTCATTTGACTGCCTCAGATTCTTAAAAAATTAACTGTTTTAGAGAAGAAAAGACTTTTATTCAAAGTCACACAAGCAGTAAATATTTAGCTCATGTCAGAACCCTTATCTGTTTATTACATGTCCACTATCTTTCCACTCCCCATACCCAATTTCTATCTCTGCATTATCTAAATGGTATGCTTAATCTAAAGAGCTAGATACTTGATAATACGTGATCAGTAAAAACGTTGTACAAATACAGAGGCTTGGTTTTCCTCACTAAGAAGTCAAGTCACAAAAGCACAAGGCTGGGGATGGAAGAGTTCAGTAGCAAGGGATACATTTGAAGGAGTATGAATGAGTCCATTGTTTTGTTTGAATGGTATGCATTACACCATTCTATATTATGCTACACATAATGGTTACCACACTTACAACATGGTATTTGCTGCCATTTTTGTGGTCTGCTTCCATACAACAGGCACAGTTCAATAGCAGAAAGAGCAATGAATGGTTTAGGTATTGAAAGACCCAAGTTCTGTTCTTTGCCTCCATGTTTTGTTTTGTTGGAGTGACCCAGACAAACATTTCTGCTCTCTGAGTCACTAGCTCTTCAATTTTTAATTTAGGAAGTTGAACAAGATGACTTCTAATGCCCTTTTAAATTCACAATTTTATTTGACCTGATGACATCACCAAACCCTCCTATATATCTAATTTGTATCATTGGAAGTAATCATATTATCATAATATGCCAACTAACAGATTGCTTGATTGTCAAAGGAGAAAAAGCACTTGCAAGAAGATGAGAAGCCACTATATCTTTAAAAGCATAATAGAATGTAAACTCTCTTTCTGATATTTAAAAGGCAGAGGTCATATTCCCCAAAATAATACTGGCAAAGTATAGAAAGGAAACTTTCAGAAACTAAAACAAAAAACATCACCTTGGCTCTTAACGTTTCCCTGCTGTGAGAGTTTTAGCAAATCTCAAAAGCATCAAGCTAGACAGAATATTTAGTCATTATTTGGAACATAACTGCATTTAAGTACAACAGAAATTTAATTTTATGTGTTAAAAATGTTTTAATGTGTAAATGTAGAGAGATTGAAAAACTGATCAGTGACGGGATTTTAACGAAAGTAATTAAGGTATTTTATTTTAGAAATATGTGGGAAAAAATATCTTAGTGTTAAGCCTTTTCACTATCAGAGGAATGAAATGAGTAAATATGAATAGGAAAAAATGTCTGTTACATTTTTCATTACTGAAAACAAAGAGATTATCTTGATCAGAGAGTAGACATAAAACTTCATAAGTTTTCTTCCAGATGAGTGGACTTAACTGATAAATTTTAATATTTCAGCAATATTTTCCTATTAACTCTTTTTAAATATAGTTTTTAGGGATTGGGTGTAGGAAGAAAGATAGATATCAATTCTTCGTCTTGATTCAGTTTTCTCTTGTTTTCTGTATGATGTAGTTTCTATTTAACTTAGTGAAACTTCACCAGAAAAAAATTCAGTCATGTTTTATTTTTAAAGTCGGTTTCATAAATATTCTTATAGTCATTTGTTGATTGATACATCTTGTTTTATTTGTGTCTTCTATTTTTGATAATAAATATTTTAGTTGAAAGATGGGAAAGGTTATATAAGATACTTCTAACCACATATTTAATCATAAATATTTCTATTAGAGTAAAACGATTTTAAAAAGACTGTCAGTTTTATATAAATAATCAAACACATTAAATAAGGCATTCCCTAGCATTCTGTTAATTTTGAAATAAAACAAATAATCTAATTTAATTCAGGAATAAGTGAAATAAAAGAAATAATCTAATTTAATTCAGGAATAAGGAAAGTTATGTCATATTTAGGCGATCGACTTTACTAGCGGAGCATTAGGACTTAAGAATTTGGGGCACCATATAGGAACCAATGAATCAGAGTCTCTGGGGTTGTAGTTTGTATATCACTATTTTTGTCAAAGATTAAAGAAAATTTTAATACATTAGCTGTAGATTTCTTATTCTACCATTCAAAAATGAAACTAAGATATGTTTAAAATTATAATTTTTAAATACAGTGACTCAATGTTATACATGTGATACAACAATTATATATAAAACATATAATTACATATATATTATGTATAACATTATATATAATGTCATATATATGAAATACAAAAATAAAGTTGAGATTCCTGTAGAAATTGTTACACAATTTTAAATGGTAATGTTTTAAAATATATTGGAAAGACAATAGGTTTTATATAATCTGGTATAAAAGCACTTAAGATTATTCTGGAAGATGCTTTTGCTAAAAGCAAGATTATTTTATTTAAAACAAAAATATATGCTATATAGTTACAATGTAATAAGAAATATATGGAAACTATAAGAAGAAAATTATTTTAAAAGATTTTTTAAAGTCTTGCAAAAAATGAAGTAGCACATACTTAATTCATCACATCACAACAAGCACAACTAAACATTAGAGGAAAAATAAAAACTATTAAGATAATATTGATCAATCTTACTACTTTAATTTTTAAAATAATCTGTATTTCCATACTTACCTTGGACACATTTAAAATGAAAAAAACCCTAAATAAAGAAAACAGATGATGGGGTATTTATAAGGTACTCTTAAAATGACTAATCAGAAGGTGAAAACACAACTGGAATTATTAACAAAGCCTATAATAGGCCATTTACTAAAATAAATAAAAATGGCAAGTGGACATGGGCATAAATATTCAAACTCACTAGCAATCAAAAAATGCAATTTTAGCATGAATGCAAACCAATTTTTTGCCTATTGAATTTGAAAAGAATTTCTAAAATCTAATTCACTAGGTGGAAGGTGAGAAAAAATGAGCACATTCAATCACTGCTGACAGGCATGTTAATTACTAGAAACTTACTTTAGTTCAATTTAGAAATATTTATTAGAAGCTCTGAAAATGTTCATGCCATTTTACTTAGAAAAAATTACCCTAAGGGACTAATAAAAAATATGTGCAACAATTTGGTGTAATAGGAAATGGTATATAATACAAAAAAATAGAATTAAATTTGTTAATGTTTACCAAGAAGAGAGGTAAAATGATTTATAGGTAGAATTCCAATACAAAATATATTTTAATTTCCATAGATATAAACTAATAAAATGAGAAATGCATGGGTAATAGTAAAAAAAGACCCAATGATTAGTAAACACTTTAATTATCTAATCCTGTCCACCATAATGAAAAAAATAATTTTTTCACCTTGTGTTATTAAGGAAGTAAAGAAATAGATGACTTGCATACTTTCAATATACTAAAAGCTAATATCTATTAAACAATAGTAATAGATTACATCGTAATAAGTAACACTGCTAATTTACTCCCTGTAACAGCCTTCTAAAATCATAATGCTTTTTATCTCTGCTGATAAGTGAGGAAATTACCCATTAATCATTCATGAAACTGAGATTAAAAACTTGGTGGATTGTTTCCTATATATGACTGTGTTCATGAGCAAAAGGACTGTCTGTTGCACTAAAAAAAAAAATTATCTAAACAGAGAAAAAAAGCAAATATTCTTTAAAAGCACAAATGGTCAGTCACAGAATTTGACCATATATTAGCTAACAAACTATGCCTGAATAAATTCCAAGGAATTAACACCATAAGACTATGTTCTAAGCTGATAATAAAATAAAAATATCACATATAAAGGAATGTCTTTTACAATTCTATATATTTGGAAAATAAACAATGATCTACTAAATTACACTTAAGTAATTGAGAATAAATAATAAATATCTTAAAATTTTTAAATATTCACCATGAATGAAAATTATACAAATGCACATATATTTAAATTTGTAAAATACATACATTAAAACAGTATTTGCAGAGAAAATGGAATACATAATCAAGAAACGTGAAGGATTAATTGCAAACTAGATGAGAATTTACATCTAGCACAGAAAAAAAGTTCAATAAAATTCAAAAAATACAGAACAGATTAAGAGAAACAAAGAGTATAAATTTCTGACACAGAGGAAAAAAACAAAACAGAAAAATTTAACTACAAACTATTTTTATTTTTAATATTAGTAAGATTGACTCTAGCAGAAAAGATAAAATTTAAAAATGAAAGAAAACAAAAAAGATAGATTATACCATTAAAAGGCATACTGATAAAGGAATATTATGATGATCATACTATATAATGCTATATAATGCCTATATATAGTAAAAAAAAAAAACCCAAGTTGACACTGTAAACTTATATTCGCTTCTACATTTGCCTGTAAATTTTAAAGATAGTTTAGTGGTAACAACAGTTTTCCTAAAGTTTTGGACAATGATGATTCCATAGGTGAATTCCTTTCAACTTATTCTAAAAAGAAACACACCAAAATATTGTTCAATTGACTAAGTAATATTAACTTTACTTTCAAAATTAGGTGAAGATAGCATAAAATGAAAATGAACTCTCATTCATTGCTGGTGGGAATGCAAAATTATATAGACACCTTGGAAGACAGTTTGGTAGTTTCTTATAAAATGAAACATAATTTTACCATATTGTTACTGAAACACCAGGGATGTGGTCTAGGTCCTGCTGCTCACTGCACAGAAAGCCAATTACTGAGACAAGGAGTACTGCCAGGGAAGAAGTCTTTATTTGGGTGCTGCAGGTGAGGAGATGGGAGATCAGTCTCAAATCCATCTCCCTGAACAAGTACAATTAGTGGTTTATGCAACAGGGAACAAATGTAAACAGGTGTGGGAAAACAGGAATTAGGGACCTATAAGAGGAGTTGGTCAACAGGAAGCAGTGATCTAGGGAGTTTCTGTTCCTTGTTACTTTCTAGAAGGCCTAATAGTTGGTTTCCTGAGAAAGGAACTCAGATAAGACTAATTTAACTTTCTTAGGTTTTAAGACTGGGAGGATCAATTTCTGTGTTTATTCAAAGAAATAGGCCAGGTGCGGTGACTCACATCTGTAATCCCAGCACTTTGGGAGGCCGAGGCAGGAGGATCACCAGGTCAGGAGATCAAGACCATCCTGGCTAACACTGTGAAACCCCATCTCTACTAAAGATACAGAAACAAAATTAGCCAGGCGTGGTGGTGGGCTTCTGCAGTCCCAGCTACTCAGGAGGCTGAGGTGGGAGAATGGTGTGAACCCGGGAGGCAGAGCTTGCAGTGACCCGAGATTGCGTCACTGTATTCCAGCCTGGGTAACAGAGTGAGACTCCGTCTTTAAAAAAAAAAAAAAAAAGAAAAGAAATAATAAACATCAGCTCTATAGGATAACTGGGTCTGTTTCAATATGATCCAGCATTTGCATACCTTAGTATTTACCTAAGTGATTTTAAAGCATATGTCCACACAAACCCTAAACATGGATGTTTACAGCACCTTTTTTCATAAGTCCTAAAACTTAAAAGAAAACCAAGGTGTCCTTCAGTATGTGAAAAGATAAATACACTTTGGTACTCCAGACGAAGGAATGTTATTCAGCAATAAAAAGAAATGAGCTATCAAGCCATGAAAAGCCATGGAGGAATCATAAATGCTTATTAGGAAGTGAAATAAGCTGATCTGAATGGCAGCTTATTGCCTTTTCAGTGTTGCCATAACTTTTGGCAGTATTGCCATTACTTTTGCGCCAACCTAATAATAGGTGGAATGCAGAGGATTTTTAGGCCAATGAAAATACTCTGTGTGATACTATAAGAATGGATACATTTTATTATACATTTGTCTATACTCATAGAATGCACAACACCAGGAGTGAACCCTAATGTAAACTAAGAACATTGGGTTATAATAATATATCAATGTAGACTTACTGATTGTAACAAATGTACCATTCTGGTTAGGATGTTTATAGAGGCAAATGTGCATATATTTGAGCAGAGGTTATTTGAGAACTCAGCATTTTCCATTGAATTTGTTGTGAAACTAAAACTGCTCTAAAACATAAAATAAAAGTTACATTTAATTTATCAACAAAAATATAAAGATCTTAATGTAACCATTGAATATTTATTATATGAGAGAAACTGTTCTAGGCTCTGGGTATGGAGTACTGAACTTTAAAATGTCAAATTATGATTAACATGGATCTTGCAATCTAATGAGAGAAAACAGATAATAAAACCATCATTATGTATGCATCTGTAGGAATTAAAATTTTATAGCCAAAAATACATCAAAATAAGCATACAAGGTTTTTCTGTTTTTTTTCATGGGATGATAAGGAAAGGCCTCTCTGATTAGATGATGAAGTCAGTGCTATCAGTGCTACACACTAATTCTCACTCTAGTAAATAAATAGGAAGGAGAAAAAACATGATAAATATAGGTTATGGCCTGCAATAAGGGCTGAAGCTCATCCCACTAACCCTGTTTTTGTATGTCTTCCCAGAAAATTTGACCAGCCATGTAATTTCACTCCTTCCAGACATACTTTGATGTGAACAGGAAGTATAAAAGAGCAGTGCAAAGAGTGGACTGTACCGGATACTGTCAGAGACTTCCAAAGTATTCTTTTTTAACTGGCGCATACCTCCCCCAGGTGCTGTCAGTGTAGTATATTAACAAATCATAGCTGCCTTATTTTCTAGAAAATTGTTCTTGGACAAACAAGTCTTAGTCTGGGAAGCAACCCTTACCGCCCTCATCCCACCAAAAAAAAAAAAAAAAAAAAAACCACTTTGCCATTGACTAACTGTGCTGGAGAGATTTACTTTTGAAGGTGGGATTAAATCTGTGCAGTAATTTGTGGGACAGAGCTTTTCGGTGAGAACTGAATACTGTAGGGTTCTGCCTCAATTTGGGACAGATCTGAAGGGCTAGCTCCACACAAGATTGGCCTGAGGGTTACTGAATTCACAGTGTAGGTCCCGTTTTCTTTGTCTGCCCAAATCTGAATTCCCCGCTTTCATAGAAATCTATTTCTTGAGAGTATACCTGATATATCTTCTTCAACCTTTTAGCTCCAAGTCTGCTTCCAAGAAACCAAAACACTCTGAGATCAAACTGAAGCTAATCTCATGCTTATACCATATATATTTTTTAGCTTTTGCCTTGCTTTTCTGCCTTCCTTCACTTCCCTTTTTCTGAAGTATACCCCCAATAGATAACATAAGCAAGGTTGTCTTGGCTGCCAAGTCTAAGAACTGGCATAAAAGAGATGATATTTGAGTAATGAGGTGAATAAAGTAAAAATTAAAAAAATAATTTTGTGTGTATAAAGTATATCAGACACAAAAACAATAACAAGTAAATAGGTAGCAGAACTTGTGCTTCAAAGAACAGTGGAAGGATAGTGTGGCTAGAGCAGTTAGTAACACGGGAAATGGGAGGATTTTACAAAATGGCCTTACAGGTATTTGGAAATGATATAGGGAAGCATTGGAAGATGTAGAGGTAAGGAGCTGGTTTATGTTTTATATTTTAAAAGGATTATCCTGGGTGTTCTAGGCTACTAGATTATAGGAGGTCCAAAGATAGAATACAAAACTCTGTGTGTGTGTCTACAAATTCCTCAGTGTGTTAAAAAATTATCCTTCTCATCTAGGATTATCCTCTGAATGCAAGGATGATCAGTCAACATCAGAAAATCTATGAATCTAATTTACAATATTAAGAAAAGTCTAAGAAGAAAAAGTATGATGTTTATCTCCTTAGATCCAAAAAGCATGACAAAATTTATCAGATGTTTGTGATAATAATTTTAGCTAGCTAATATAAAATGAAATACCAAATTTAATATGTTACATTTTAAAAATATTTAACAAATATTATATTAAATGCTCTAAATCAGGGTGTTTTAAGCTATCTGGTGATCAAATATCCCCAAATTCCAGGGGCCTAACAAAGTAAAAGTCTGTTTGTTGCTCATATCACACAATAATGCAAGTTAGGCAGTTCTCCTGAGTGATTATTCTAATGCCTAGATCCTATCAGACCTCCAGGATTCTCTCGCCTTTTGATTCCAGGACGCTGACTGGAAAGACTTTCTTTTGTTTTTTTGACATGGAGTTTTGCTCTTGTTGCCCAGGCTGGAGTGCAATGGCGTGATCTCGGCTCACTGTCTGCCCCCCAGGTTCACGTGATTCTCCTGCCTCAGCTTCCTGAGTAGCTGGGATTACAAGCATGCGCCACCACACCCAGCTAATTTAGTATTTCTAGTAGAGATGGGGTTTCTCCATGTTGGTCAGGCTGGTCTCGAACTCCTGACCTCAGGTGATCTGCCCACCTCGGCCTCCCAAAGTTCTGGAATTACAAGCATGAGCCACCACGCCCGGCCTGGAGAGAATTTCTCAGAGTCTTTCTCTCAGATTATTCGCATAAAGACATTCAGTAGAGAAGACAGAGTAGAAGACTGCAGGGAGCATTTTATAGTTAGTCCAGGAAGAGAGAAATATATTACATTGGCCACAACCTCTGGACACAAGGCCCTATTATAAGGTAGTGTGTGCAGAATCGGTGGGTTCTTGGTCTCACTGACTTCAAGAATGAAGCTGTGGACCCTCGTGGTGTGTGTTACAGTTCTTAAAGGCGGCGTGTCTGGAGTTTGTTCGTTCTGATATTCGGATGTGTTTGGAGTTTCTTCCCTCTGGTGGGTTCGTGGTCTTGCTGGCTGAGGAGTGAAGCTGCAGACCTTCCCAGTGAGTGTTACAGCTCTTAAGGCAGCGCGTCTGGAGTTGCTCATTCCTCCCGGTGGGTTTGTGG